>NC_000010.11:13343333-13494848 GCF_000001405.40 Homo sapiens
GACGGCAGGAACTGTTTTCAAACTGAGCTCCTCAAAGTCCTGCAGGTCACCAGCGACTGGGGTGTAACATTTCTTCCTTTCCAACAAAAGCAAGTCTGCTTTTATCTGCTTTCTCTATCTGGGAGTAAAGGAGACCCCAGGCTCATAACCAATGAACCTTACCAAATAATGGGCAAAAACAAATGAAATGAAAACCTTGGCTGGGTGTGGTGGCTTACACCTGTAATCCCAGCACTTTGGGAGGCTGAGGCAGGCAGATCACCTGAGGTCAGGAGTTCGAGAACAGCCTGGCCAACATGGTAAAACTCCCATCTCTACTAAAAATACAAAAATTAGCCGGGCATGTGGCAGGGGCCTATAATCCCAGCTACTCAAGAGGCTGAGGCAGAAGAATCGCATGAACCCAGGAGGCAGAGGTTGCAGTGAGCCAAGATCACGCCACTGCACTCCAGCCTGGGTGACAGAGTGAGAATCCATTTCAAAAAAAAAGGAAGAAAACTGATCAAGTCACACAGTAATTATCGAACATCCAAACCTCCGAAACTATGCGTCGAACACAAGAAAAGTGATCACAGTCTTGTACTGTGTACTTAATAAACTGCACAAGAAACATGAATAAACAATATCCCAGGAGCCCAGAATTTGTTTCTAAGCTCTGTGTTTGGGAAAAGTGAAATCACTCATGACATCAGGAATGTAGTAAAGAAAAAGACATTGCCCTGGTTCCAGATGACATCCTGGGGTCAAGAACAGATCCATCCAGTCCTGGGTCTGGAGCAGTCCCACCTCCTCACCGTAACACGCTTTTCGCCCGATGCACCCTGCAGAGAACCCCAATGCCCTCCTGACACAGTCACTGCCATCCAAGTACAGCACAAGAACCCTAAGGCTGGAACCGCCTTTCCTAGGGCAATGAAGGGAATGTGAGCATTTTAGGAGTCCTTTTAGGAAAAGGGAATAAAGTATTTCTGCTTAATCTTCAGCTAACAGAAAATTCAATTCAATTAAATTGAAAATAAAAATTAAAAAGTTTTTACTGTAATAACAATCTCAATTGCATACTCCATGATTTAAAAACTGTCAAGAGTACCCCTCTTGATGCGTTTCAAGTACTTTCTCTACATAAGTTACAAGAACATAACATAGCAATCATAACATTGATTGCTCTTCTAATCCTTCCCACAAAAATTAAAAAAAAATAAAGGGGGTACGATGTACACTATTTGGGTGATGGCTACACTAAAAGCCTAGTCTTCACCATTATGTAATATATTCATGTAACAAAACTGCATGTGTATTCCTCAAATCTATAAAAGCAAAAAAAGTAATAATAAAAAATAAATAGGCAACATGGGAGGCGAGAAATCCAGTTTTTGACTCACTGATTGGATCGCAGACCATCAAAGAAACACTGGGTTACCTACCAAGCCTTGGCATAACGGCTCCCAGAAACTGCTCATCTTCTTGGAAGTGGTTCTCCTGTAAAGATTCCAGCAATTTTTGCAGGACATCTTGGGGCACTTTGCAGCCTGTGCCCTTCAGTTCAGTGAATCTGGTTAGCCGGAAGCTTTTGTCCAATTCGTAACTTTCCGGGTTAAAGGACTCCCGCGTAGACATGGTTCTTGGGCCCCGCTCTCCTCACAGCTCAGCCCCTCCCCTCCCTCTGCGGGTTGGCTGGGTTCTTTATGGATCCACCTGGGTGTCACCAAAACACAAAGATGCCATGAAAAGAATTCCCACTGGGACCTGCCAGCGAATCAAGTGAATACATGACAGCGAAAAGTCAATGTGACAAGGGCTGAAATCATCAAGACCACTTATATTCACCACAGCAGTGCATATGACAAAATAGATCTTTTCATAACGGGACTGCGTCAGCACAGACATCTATGTAAAATCTGACATCTGGACTGTGGTTTTAACTGTGGCAAGAGGGCCAGCCTGCAGGTTCACATGACACCGTGCCACCTTGAACAGCAAATCCCAAAGGTTCTTCTAGGACTCAGCATTAGAACAGCACCTCTGGGCACTTCATGTGTCAACCTGGAAGCACTGTGGTTCAGAAAGCGGCGGTCCTCGCTAAGGTGACTTTTCCGCAAAATCTTTTGATATCTTTTGCTTTATCACACAGAAGAATGAAACGCCCGATACAAACTTGTCAGAAAAGGGCATTAATGTAAATGCATTGGACAAAATTCTTCACGATGCTAAATCCTTATTTTAGAAAAACACGTTTTCCCTCTGAGCCCAAAGAATATACAACACAAGGATGGGCGTGGTGGCTCATGCCTACAATCTCGGCACTTTGGGAGGCCAACGCGGGTGGATCACCTGAAGTCAGGACACAAGCCTGGCCAACATGGCGAAACCCCGTCTCTACTAAAAATACAAAAATTAGCTGGGCGTGGTGGTGCGCACCTGTAATCCCAGCTACTTGGGAGGCTGAGGCAAGAGAATCGCTTGAACCTGGGAGGCGGAGGTTGCAGTGAGCCGAGATCGAGCCACTGCACTCCAGCCTGGGCGAGAGTGAGACTCCGTCTCAAATAAAAAATAAAAAAATACACAATGCAATCCAAAACTAATAGGAGTCCTCTCTAAAGGGCACAACTTAAAAACTACAGTGGCAGTTTAACACAGTAAGGTCTGTGTTCTTCAGGCGAAAGCCTGGAAAGTTCTCTGATGTTTTCACGCAGTGCTATTTCCTAGAAAGCAAAACATCCAGCCCAACAAACTAGTACACACATCATTGACAAAATATGCTACTCCTCATTAACATTTCATTGCAGAACCGAAACAATAAATTAAGCCATACTAAATCAGCAGCATTTCGGCCCTGTGTACCACCGTTAGGTTTCTGGAACAAGCACTCCTACGTTTTTTAGCCTTTGGGGCTAAAGGAAAAAACAACATGTGTTCCTCGAGTTTACAAACCTCCAGACTGATACTTTATTGGGACTAGAATTACAAACACCCCAAGTTTTAAGGTCGGTTTCCCCTATAAAATTTATGATTAAGAACATAATTCCCATTTATAGAGTTTTCCATCCCTTGGGACGCACATCGCTCATATAAATCTCACGAAGCCCGAGTTTGGGCAGTAATCCAAACCGTCTTCACAAAAACACGGTTTGGGATGAGCAATGATTTCGGTGGGAAACGTAACAACTGAGCAGGAGTCAGCCTTCGAACACGATTCCAAGAAGTCTCCCTGCCCAAAAAGAGCAGGCGCTGGCCGCAAGTGACAAGAGACGAGAATTTTGAAGCCATCTTAGAGTTATGGGAAAGTTTGAATACCACTTTGACTTGGAAGGCGTTTTCAACAAAAACAACAAAGTCCTTTCCTCAAAAAACACCTCGCATTTAACACAGCCTCACCCCTACCAGGAAAAAAAAAAGAAAAAGAAAAAATCCAACTCACGAGGCATCCAGTTATTTTCCTACCTCCTATCTATTCCTCTCCTGGCTCCCAAAAAGGTGGGGAGGGGAATTGTGTGGCTATCACTTCCTTTTAAATTACTATCTTCTCAAGAGTTTTAAGGGTGGAAAAAAGTTTAAAACACCTTGTATCAGGAAGGCGCTCAGATTTAAAATTCCAAATGGTACTAAGGACACAAATCAGCCTCACATCCTAATGAAAAAAGTACTAGATTCTTACATTTTTGGAGGGCATGGGAAGGGGGAGGGGGTTCTGGGGGAAATGTGCAGTGATTAGGGAACCAGGGGGATCCATTTGCATTAATAAGGGACGGTGCCCGGCGACCCCGCAGCCACATGTTTACGCCTTTAAAACAATGGCATGAATATTTAAAGCAACGTTTAGCCCTTTCCTTCCCGGGCACATTTCCATGGTTTGGTTTTTTTTTTTCTTCCAACGAGCGTGGGGAGCCGGGGAGCCGGTCAGCGGGGTGGGCCCGGCGCGCTGCCCCGCCAACCCCGGACCTACCTCCCCGCCGGCCCCGCACAATGGGGCGCGCTCTCCAGGACGCCCGCGTCGGAGGCGGCCGGGGAGGGGAGCAAGGAACCCGGGGACACCTTCGGGCTCAGGCTCAGGCTCAGGCCCTCGCCGCCGCCTCGGAAGGCCCAGCAGGCCCGGGCTGCGGGCCGGCGGCGGGGCGGAGGCGGCAGCTCGGGGCCCCGGCCGGGCCATCCCTGTTCGGGCCGGCGGGAGGCGGCGGGAGCCGGCGGGCACCGCGCGTGCGGCCCAGGAGCCGGGGAGGACGCCGGGACGCACCCGCCCCGGGTCGACAGGGCCCGCGCGGAGAAAAGGGGAGGCGGGGAGGCCCCGGAGGCACCCCGCGACCCCAGGCCGGCCGCTCCCGCCGCGCGCACGGGCCGCCGCCGCCGCCGCGCAAAAATGTCGGCGGGCGAAAAAATTAACCCCTGCGTGGCCGCCGCCGCCCTCCCCTCCGCTCCTCCCCGCCCTCCCTCCCTCCTTCCCCGGCCCCGCGCGGCGGCGGCGGCGGCGCGGGCGGCGCTTCTTTTTTAAAGCGGCCCCACCAAGCCCGGCGCTGCCCCTCTCCAGGCAGGGCTGGCGGGGCCGGCGGCGCGCGGCTCCCCGGCGGTCCCGGGCGGCCCGGAGGGGGATTTGCAACGGCCGCCGCGGGCCTGCGGACCCAGATTCCCCTTTAAGCCTGCGCCTCCCCCCCGCGCCGGGCCCGCCGCTTACCGGCTCGCTTTGCGCCCTCCGCCTCCTCCCGAAAACGGGCCGCGGGCCGCTCCCACAATGCACCGGGCGCGGCCGGGCTCCCTTAAGCGTCGCCTGAATAAAAATGCCGCGCCCGGCGGCGGCGGCGGCGGCGGGGGCCCGGGCCCGCGCCTGGGCGCCGCGGGGGCTCGCCTGCCTCGGCGCGGCCCTGCGGGAGCCGGGCCGCCGCGCTCCCGCCGGCTGGGCGCGCGGGGGTCCTTTAAGGCCGGCCACCTCCCTTTAAGAGGCGGCCCTGGCTGCTGGGTGGCGGCGTGCGGCCCGGGAAGGGGGCGGGGGCGCCGTGCAGCCCCGAGCGCGGCAATGATTGGTCTCGGGGGAGGGGTGGGGGGTTGCAAACCCGAGGAGCGGTGGCATCCGTTGCATGATGCAAAAAAGGATTGATTTCAAAAGTTGCGAGTTGCATTGGCAGCCGCCCTTGGCGCCCGGGCCACCTTTTTCCCGGGCCCCGCTGCAAGGGCCGGGAACGTTTCCGCCACCTGGCCGGGCTCGACCGCGCGGCGCTCTGCGGGGCGCTGTCCCCGCTCCCCGAGTGCGCAGCGGAGCGTCCTGGAAGACAATGACCATGGGAACAATTTGCACAGGAGGCTAGGAGCCCAGGAAAAGCCGCCTGGGCGCCAGGCAGAGGTTTTTTGAAAACACAAACGGCGCGTTAGATGCTTGGGGACTCCCAGCATCTGTCCTTCCTATTGTTTAGCTCGGCTCCGGAGTTCACGGGAGCCTCGTGAAATGTGGAGACGTCCTGCAAAGTTTCTTGAACACTTCATGTGCGTGGTAGGAAGTCGAGGAAAAAGGTTTACGGTTCCCCGCTGGTTGCATTGTTTGTCCTGCACATGTTCGAGCGAACATGGCAGCCGCAACCCTGGATGTGTTCGAATTGACATCGAGGGGGGAGCTTCACGTCGTGAAATAACTTTTTTCTGGGCTTTCGAGATTCTAAAGCATTGCTGATGAAAATAAACCAAATACTTTCAGATATCGTTTAGGGCTTCTCTCTAAAACAGCAGTGTGCAGGAATGCCGATCGAACTTTTCTAGGCAGTAGGTCAGCATTTTCCAAATGTTATTTGGGAGCAGAAATGTTTTGGGTCACTGGACCGTGCTTTACGTGGCACGGCAGGTTGGCACGCTACGCAGATGCCCTTTTCGTTAACATTTCCGCTTGCCAGTTGCTCCGGGTTTTAATCCTGGGCTGGATGCAGAAGTGATGCCACCTCGAAGACAGGCTGCTCCTGTCTTTGTGTACTTTCTTCATACCCTGTAGTAAGTTTGCAAAGAACGTGTTAGTCTGCATTCTTTTATTTTATATTTATTTATTTATTTATTTTGAGACGGAGTCCCACTCTGTCGCCAGGCTGGAGTGCAGTGGCGCGATCTCGGCTCACTGCAACCTCCGCCTCCTGGGTTCAGGTGATTCTCCTGCCTCAGCCTCCCCAGTAGCTGGGATTACAGGCGCCTGCCACTGGAGGATGGCTTCTCCCAGAGGGGAAGACAGGGTCACGGTTCTCATTAAGAGGGTATTGTACTAGTCAAGCCCGGAGATGTACTTGAACTGAAAGCAAGGGGAATGCAGCCCAGGGAAGGGATTTGGTGTGATTTAGCACGTAGGAAGGAGAGGAAGAAGGATAAGATGACCCCCAGGTTTCCAGTTTGCGGGGGTGGGGGGTGGGGGAGGGAATGAGGAGCGATGCTAATAATTTATCTAAGAACTGCTGAAAGGCAAACAAGTTTCGGGGTGAGTTCAGCTTTGGAAATGTTAAATCTGAGGTCTGCCGGATGGTGTGGGGGTGGGGCTCAGAGTTGCAAATCTCAGGTCTGCCGGATATTCCAGACCAAAGTTAATAGGGAAACAGGTCCGGAATTTGGTGTGGGGATGGGGCTCAGAGATGCAAATCTGGGTGCCATCAGCATGTAAATGGTGTTCGAAGCCTCCGTAAGAGGTGAGATTAACCCCGAAGGGAGAGCTCAGGAAAAAAGTGAAAGAGACCTTGGACAGAGCTCTGCAGAACTTGGAAATCAAGTGGCTGGGCGGGACAGAGGCCGATCCCCGCTGCGTCGGTGGGAGGCCACCATCCTCAGAACCGACTCTTCCTCCCCGCCTCCACCCACCACGAGCTCACCGGGAAGCAGTTCTCTGCCGCAGAGGCCGTAAGCCACAGATGCCTTACTTCATCCAGGGCCACACTACAGCCTTGGCCCAGATCATCTGGCAGAGTCATGCATCCTTTTCTTTGCCGGTGATGAGAGCTTCTTCCTTGGGTACTGCTTTGAGCTAGTCCTACGCTCCCCCGCAACTCCCGGGCTCACCAGAACCCCATTCTAGGGAGCCATCCCCGCTGGATTCTCAGGCTCTGCTGGTTCCGTCCAAGAGATGGTTCTCCTGGGTTGCATTGTCTGGTTGGGGCTTATTAAAAATACCAGTTTACCGCTGAGCAGGGTAGCTCAGGGTGCCTGTAACCCCAGGGCTTTGGGAGGCCAAGACAGGAGGATCACTTGAGGCCAGGAGGTTGAGACCAGCCTGGGCAACATAATGAAACCGCGTCTCTACAGAAAATTTAAGAAGTAGTCAGGTGTGATGGCGCATGCCTATAGTCCTAACTACCTCAGAGGCTGAGGTAAATCATTTGAGCCCAGTAGTTCAAGGCTACATTGAGCTGTAATCGTGCCACTACACTCTAGCCTGAGTAACATAGCAAGACCCTGTCTCAAACAAAACAGAACAAAACAAAAAGAACTAATTTACCAGCTTCACTCACTTGAAAGATTACAGCTAGCAGATACAATGGGTTGAATTATGTCCACCACAAAAGGTGTGTTGAAATCCTCACTGCCCCCCATACCTGTGAATGTGGCCTTACTTGGAAATAAAATATTTGCAGATTTAATCAAGGTAAGATGAAGTCATACTCAATTGTGATATGCCCTAAATCCTATGGCTCATATTCTTAGAAAAAAAGGAATATTTGGGCTGGGCGTGGTGGCTCATGCCTGTAATCTCAGCACTTTGGGAGGCCAAGGTGGGCAGATCACTTGAGGCCAGGAGTTTGAGACCAGCCTGGCCAACATGGCGAACCCCATCTCTACTAAACGTACAAAAATTAGCTGGGCGTGGTGGCATATGCCTGTAATCCCAGCTTCTCGGGAAGCTGAGGCAGAAGAATCGCTTGAACCCAGGAGGCAGAGGTTGCAGTGAGCTGGGATCATGCCACTGCACTCCAGCCTGGGTGACAGAGCAAGATGTCTCAAAAAAAAGAAAAAAGAAAAAGAAAGAAAGAAAAGAAAAGGAAGATTTGGAGACAGCGGCACAGAGGAGACACAGGGAAGATGGCCATGCATGTGAAGACCGAGACAGAGGTTGGAGCAATGCAGCTACAAGCTACAGCGGAGGTTGCCGTCAGCATCAGAAGCTGGGAGAGGCAAGGAGGAATTCTTCCCTAGAGCTTTCAGAGGGAGCGTAGCCCTGCCGACACCTTGGCTTCCCGCTAGCAGCCTCCGGGATTTAAACTACCCAGCTTGCGGTCCTTTGTTATGGCAGCCATGGGAAAAGACTCCAGCAGGTCGGAGGTGTATGTGGTGGGGAAGGGATGTGAAGAATCCCCATTTTGCCAGGCTCCCTGGGTGATTCTGATGCTTTTGAAGAACACTGACCTAAGAATTCCACTTCCTCTGAAACCCAGAGGGACGAGAGGCTGCCTGTTCTATACCCCACATCCTGCTCACCCCAAAACAGAAAAGCAGCTCCAGTGACATCACCTTCCTGTCACCTGCCCTTCTCATTCGGGGCTCATGCCATCCAACACTGCCACCATCTGCTGCCAGAAGTGTCACTCCCCTGCATGGTTTGAATCATGCCCATTCAAAAGTGGCCCCTGCTCTGTCATCCCAGGGGATGGAGAGGGTCCATTCTCAGGAATAGCACCTGCTAGATGATGGATGTGCAAATCTGATGACCTTGACCTTAACTCCACTTTAGACACCCATTGTCTTGGCCGTGCTGTGAACCTTCTCGGCCCTGGAAATCTTTCATTTTTTATTCGTTTAGAGATGAGCTCTCGTTATGTTGCCCAAGGTGGTCTCAAACTTCTGGGCTCAAGCAATCCTCCCACCTCAGCCTCCTGAGTAGCTGGGACTACTACCATGCTTAGCTAACCCTGGAAATCTTAAACACCAACACCCTCTCCCCCGTCCCTGAGTCCTCTCCCTTCTTTACATAGGACACCCACACTCTAACTTCATGGGGGCCACCAGTCTCCTGAAGTGGATCCGTTTCATTCTGTTCAGCTTGGACCGTCTGAGGGTAGTTCTGCAGCCTCATCTCACCTCAACCCATTTCATTGACCATGTTCACCCCCACATGTCCAAACTTAAGCCCCTCTACCTGCCTTCTTTGTCCTTCCACTGGGCTGGAGGAAACTCAGAACTTAGAGATCCTGCCATGATGGGCATGTCAGCCCCCAGTGCCAGCCGGGCTTTTCTGACACCTCAGAAATCATTGAGTATGTTATTCCTGATGTTCATTATTCTCCCCAAGGGCTGGTTCACACTTTGCTGCCTTCAAGAGCAGATGCACCTTACAGAAAAGAATTCATGTCCTCAGGGGAAACCCTGTAATTCCCCCACCCTTCCCTGGCCCCACTAGACTCCTCTGACCTCCAGGGTCAGTGTCTCAGAGACAGGACTGCCCTCTGCCGGTCCCAGGCTGGTCCCTGCCTGTACCCTGACTTCCACCCCTCCAACAATAGCTAACCTTTGTTGAGGATTCACTACATACCCCACTGCACAGTGTTTTAAAGCACTGCTTTTAGAATTCTCCCCACAGTCCCCTGCGGTAGGTTTTCCTTTCATGGGGATGGGAACCAGGGTTCCGACTAATTAAGTAATTTATCCAAGGTCACTGTCTTAGTTTGGGCTCCCCCAAAGTAGACCTGGAGACAAGGATTAGGGAGAAGGGAGTTAGTTAATTTGGGAGGTGATCCTAGGAAACATAAGTCATGAAGCAGACAGGAGGAAACAGAAAGGAGAAAGCCGGAAGGAATGTTAGAGTGGCCTACCAACCGTGGGCACCTGGGACTCTGCCCTGTTGAGGCTGCTCTGAGAAATGGTACGGACCCCCTAGGGCAGGCAGATGAATGACGAACTCCAGTAGGTCTATGTCCCAAGCCCCAGAGCCTGTGACTATGTCATGTTACAAGGCAAAGAGGAATTTCAGTTGCAGGAATTGAATGTACTGATCAGAGCCAAGTGTTGTAGTTCATGCCTCTAGTCTCAGCTACTCGGGAGGCTGAGGCTGGCAGATTATTGGAGCCTAGGAGTTCAAGGACACAGTGAGGTATGATTGTACCACTGCACTCCAGCCTGGGTGACAGAGACCCTGTCTCTTAAAATAATTAAAGAAAAATTTGCTCATCATTTGAGCTTAAAATAGGGTGGTTATCTTGGATAATCTAGGTGGATCCAAGGTAATCACAAGCCTCCTGAAAAGTGGAAGAGGGAATAGAGAGCTGGAGAGATGGGAGCGTGAGAAAGAATTAGACTGACATTGCTAGCTTTGAAGATGGAGGAAGCGGCCACAAACTGAGGAAAACAGGTGCCCCCTAGAATATGGAAAAGACAAGCAGGTTCTCCTTTAAAGCCTCTGGAAGAGAATACATCTAGCTGATAGCTTGATCTTAGCTTAATGATATCTGTGTCAGACTTCTGGTCCACAGAACTGTCAGATCATAATTCAAGCTGTTATAGGAGAGGGGCCCTGATCCAGACCCCAAGAGAGGAATCTTGGATCTCGCACAAGAAATAATTCAGGGCAAGCTGGGTGCGGTGGCTCACGCCTGTAATCCCGTCGCTTTGGGAGGCCGAGGCGGGTGGATCACCTGAGGTCGGGAGTTCGAGACCCGCTTGACCAACATGGTGAATTCCTGTCTCTACTAAAAATACAAAAATTAGCCAGGCATAGTGGCAGGCGCCTGTAATCCCAGCTACTCGGGAGGCTGAGGGAGGAGAATCGTTTGAATCCAGGAGGTGGAGGTTGCAGTGAGCCGAGATTGTGCTATTGCACTCAAGCCTGGGTGACAGAGTGAGACTCTGTCTCAAAAAAAAAGAAAGAAAGAATTCAGGGCAAGTCCACAGTGCAAAGCAAAATAGCAAAAGCAAGTTTATTTAATTTTATGTATGTATTTTTAAAAAACAAGTTTATTAAGAAAGTAAAGGAATAAAATAATGGCTACTCCATACACAGAACAGCCTTGGGGGCTGCTGGTTGCCCATTTTTATGGTTCTTTCTTGATGATATACTAAACAAGTGGTGGATTATTCATGCCTCCCCTTTTTAGACCATATAGGGTAACTTCCTGCATTGCCGTGGCATTTGTAAACTGTCATGGTGCTGGTGGGAGTGTAGCAATGAGGGCAACCAGAGGTCACTCTCATCACCATCTTGGTTTTGGTAGATTTGGGCCGGCTTCTCTACTGCAACCTGTTTTATCAGCAAGGTCTTTATGACCTGATTTTGTGCTGACCTCCTATCTCATCCTGTGACTTAGAATGACTTAACCATCTGGGAATGCAGCCCAGTAGGTCTCAGCCTCATTTTACCCAGCTCCCATTCAAGATGGAGTTGATCTGGTTCAAATGCCTCTGACAAAGCCACAAAGTTTGTGATAATTTGTCTCAACAGCAATAGCAACAAATCTGTCCCCTTAAACTCATGCTACTGGCAGGAAAAGAAGCCACGGCTCTATCCACTGACTCCTGTCCTTTGGTGGTTAAGGGTTGCCCCTGGATGTTAATTCCCCGGAACTCCCCGCACGTCCTCTCACTGGACTGGACAAGACTGAGAACTTCAGGGCCAGCAGAGCTGCCCTGGAGTGCTGGGCAGGCAGGTGATTGAGGTGGGATGCTCTCAGCGGGCTGGCCCCTGCAGCTTTGGGTAAGATCAGTGAGTCAGATGTCAATGGCGTGGGCAGTGCTACCACAGTGCCCAGCTGTAAGTAGTGAAACCAGGATTTGAGCTTGGGCTACGTCTGGAGCCCATGCACCCAGCCTCCAGCATTTGCTAGTCCCACTCTTTTGTTTGAAATTTTCAGGCAGGGCACAGTGGCTTATGCCTGTAATCCCAGCAGTTTGGGAGCCTGAGGCGGCTGGATCACCTGAGGTCAGGAGTTCCAGACCAGCCTGGTCAACATGGTGAAACTCCATCTCTACTAAAAATACAAAAAAATAAGCCAGGTGTGGTGGCAGGTGCCTGTAATCCCAGCTACTTGGGAGGCTGAGACAAGAGAATCACTTGAACCCAGGAGGTGGAGGTAGCAGTGAGCCGAGATCGTGCCACTGTACTCTAGCCTGGGCGACAGAGTAAGACTCCATCTAAAAAAAAATTGGCCAGGCATGGTGGTGGGTGCCTATAATCCCAGCTACTGGGGAGCCTGAGGCAAGATAATCACTTGAACCTGGGAGGCGGAGGCTGCAGTGAGCCAAGTTCACACCAATGCACTGCAACCCGGGCAATAGAAGAAGACTCCATCTCAAACACACACACACACACAATTAAAATTCATGTCACCTGTTTCTTTTAACCTTTTTTTTTTTTTTTTTTTTTTTGAGATGGAGTCTCGCTCTGTCACCCAGGCTGGAGTGCAGTGGGCGATCTCGGCTCACTATAACCTCCACCTACTGGGTTCAAGCAATTCTCTACCTCAGCCTCCCGAGTAGCTGGGATTAACAGGTGCCCGCCCCCATGCCTGGATAATTTTTTTTTTTTAATTTTTGGTAGAGATGGGGTTTCACCATCTTGGCCAGGCTGGTCTTGAACTCCTGACCTTGTGATCCACCCACCTCAGCCTCCCAAAGTGCTGGGATTACAGGCGTGAGCCACCGTACCCAGCCACACCTGGCTAATTTTTGTATTTTCAGTAGAGACGAGGTTTCACTGTGTTGGCGAGGCTGGTCTTGAACTCCTGACCTCGTGATCCACCCACCTCAGCCTCCCAAAGTGCTGGGACTATAGGCGTGAGCCACCATGCCTGGCCACACCTATTTTTTGTATTTTTAGTAGAGACGAGGTTTCACTGTGTTGGCCAGGCTGGTCTAGAACTCCTGACCTCGTGATCCACCCGCCTCAGCCTCCCAAAGTGCTGGGACTATAGGCGTGAGCCACTGTGCCCCACCACACCTGGCTAATTTTTGTATTTTTAGTAGAGATGAGGTTTCACTGTGTTGGCCAGGCTGCTCTAGAACTCCTGACTTCGTGATCCACCTGCCTCGGCCTCCCAGAGTCCTGGGATACAGGTGTGAGCCACCATGCCCGGCCTCTTTTTACTTTTTAAAATGGGGCCACTTGAACACTTAAGATGACACATGTGGTCACATCCACTTTCTAGTGGACAACACTGCCTTAAAGGATTCCTGGTTCCCAGACCCCAGACACAGGCATTTGGGCACCTACTTGAGTGTTACACAAACACTTCACATTCAACATGTTCCAGACCAAAATAATCATTTTCCTTCCCACTCTCCCTGTCCCATCACCCCCGACTATGTACTCTCTTGGCTGGTGGACAATCTCCTGTGTTGCACGTGGTGGAACCCTGGCCCATATGCTGAACTCCTCCCTCTCTTTCCAGTCCCTATTCTGAGTCAATTCTACCACCTTGATATTCTCCATCTCTCATCCCCACTGTTGTGGACTTAGCCTTATTTACGGTCTTTTGCTGTTTTGCTCATTTCCATCAGCCCAAAATGATCCATGCGGCTGGAATGACATTTATCAGAGGCAAACCTGATCATGTCCTTTCCTTGCTTAAAACTGCGCAGTAGCTCCCGTTGCCTGTGGCTCCATTTCTCAAAAAGTCTGGTCTTCATTCGTGGGTGTGCATGGATGAGTTAAGTAGGGCATGGAAGAATATTTTATTTTTGTAGTTAGGGGTATTCATTTCAACACCCACTGGAAGGATTTAACTGAAACATAAAACCTGTGATTTCACAGACATTATTGTTCAGAACAAAAGTGAGTCAATTTAAATAAAAGTTTAAAGAAACAATAGCACAGGCTGAAGTAATAGCACTGACCAAGTAAATAATAGCTACAGGATAAATTTCAGACTCCTTAGTATGGTAAAAAACTAAGCAAACAAAAAAATAAACGCTTTGTGACCAAGCCTCCTTCTCTCCCTTCCTTCCTTCTTTCCTTCCTTCCTTCCTTCCTCTCTCCCTCCTTCCCTCCTTCCCTCCCTTCCTTCCTTTCTTTCTCTCTTTCCCCCTCCCCTCTCCTCCCCTCCCTTCCTTTCCTTTTTAACAGAGTCTCACTGTGTTACCCAGGCTGGAGTGCAGTGGTGTGATCTCAGCTCACTGCAACCTCCACCTCCTGGGTCCAAGCAATTCTCCTGCCTCAGCCTCCCGAGTAGCTGGGATTACAGATGCCCGCCACCACGCCTGGCTAATTTTCGTATTTTTAGTAGAGACGGGGTTTCACCATGTTGGCCAGGCGGGTCTCAAACTCCTGACCTCAGGTGATCCGCCCGCCTTGGCCTCCCAAAGTGCTGGGATTACAGGCATGAGCCACAGCGCCCGGCCTACTTTTCTTTCTTTTTTGAGACTTGGTCTGGCTCTGTCACCCAGGTCGGAATGCAGTGGTGTCACCATACAGCTCACTACAGCCTTGAACTTCTGGGCTTGAGAGATCCTCCTGCCTTGGCCTCCCAAAGTGCAGAAATTACAGGCATGAGCCACCGCAGCCAGGCTTCTACTTTTCTTCTCTAATTTAATCTACCCTCTTCAGCCCTACAGCCACACTGAGTGGCTTCCAGATCTCTGGGCTCACTTCTCTTTCTTCACGAAGTGTCTCAGCAAGTACTATTTCTTCACCTGCTCTCCCTCTTCCACCCTCCTCACTTCTGGTGAAAATGGATAATAACTAAACTTGTGAGATTCAGCTCCAAGAGTCTCCTCTCTGAAGGGCTCTCTAGATACTCTAGGGAGAGTGAACACCCTATTCTTGGTAGACAGAGTAATAATCCCTGAAGATACCCTCATCCTCATCTCCAGAACCTGTGAATGAACATAGTATCTTCCGTGGCAAAAAGGGCTTTGCAGATGTGATTAAACTAACGATCTTGAGATAGGAGACTATCCCAGATTATCCAGGTGAGCTCAATGTCATCACAAGGGACACAGGAGGGTCCATAAGAAACGGATTCTCCCCTGAAGCCTCCAGAAGACACACGGCTCTGCCCACCCATTTTTATTTTTATGTATGTATGTATGTATTTGTTTGTTTGTTTTTTTGAGACGGACTCTCGCTCTGTCGCCCAGGCTAGAGTGCAGTGGTGCGATCTTGGCTCACTGCAACCTCTACCTCCTGGGTTCAAGAGATTCTCCCATCTCAGTCTCCCGAGTAGGGATTACATGCCTGGGATTACAGGCATGCGCCACCATGCCCGGGTAATTTTTGTATTTTTAGTAGAGATGGGGTTTCACCGTGTTGGCCAAACTGGTCTTGAACTCCTGACCTCAGGTGATCTGCCTGCCTTGGCCTCCCAAAGTGCTGGGATTATAGGTATAAGCCACTGCACCTGGCCTATTTTTATTTTTATATTTTTTACTATTTATTTATTTATTTATTTATTTATTTTGAGACGGAGTTTCGCTCTTGTTGCCCAGGCTGGAGTGCAATGGCGCAATCTTGACTCACTGCAACCTCTGCCTCCTGGGTTCAAGCGATTCTCCTGCGTCAGCCTCCCCATTAGCTGGGATTACAGGTGCCTGCCACAACGCCTGGCTAATTTTTTGTATTTTTAGTAGAGACAGGGGTTTCTCCATGTTGGCCAGGCTGGGCTCGAACTCCTGACCTCAGGTGATCCACTGGCCTCAGCCTCCAAAAGTGCTGGGATTACAGCTGCGAGCCACCACACGTGGCTTGCCCACCCATTTTAGACTTCTGGGCTCCAGAACTATAAAGTAATAGATTTGCATCTTTTTAATAGATTTAATAAGCACCACTAAATTTGTGGCTTATTTGTTAGAAAAGTCAAAGGAAACAAATATTCCATTCTCTGCACCACCCTATCCCTTGTACAGTCCTCGTCATGGAACCTATCCAGCTGACTTGCAGTGGTGTTCCCTGTACCTAGCCTGTTCCTCCAAAAGTCCCATCAAACCATGAGTGTCTTGCAGAAACTGTCTGGAATGTCTTTGCCCCCAGTGCCTAGCACACTGCTTGAAATATGCTAGGAATGGCAGGAAAGTGACATTCTGGAATTTGGTGACAAAGAACATTTCAAGAAGGGAAGAATATCGGACATTGCCAAATCTACAGAAAATTAAAGTAAGATAAGGAATTGAAAATAGACCACTGCAGCCGGGTGCCGTGGCTCACGCCTGTAATCCCAGTACTTTGGGAGGCCCAGGCGGGTGGATCATGAGGTCAAGAGATCGAGACCATCCTGGCTAACACGGTGAAACCCCGTCTCTACTAAAAATACAAAAAATTAGCCAGGCGTGGTGGCAGGCGCCTGTAGTCCCAGCTACTTGGGAGGCTGAGGCAGGAGAATGGCGTGAACCCGGGAGGCGGAGATTGCAGGGAGTGGAGATCGCACCACTGAACTCTGGCCTGGGCGACAGAGCAACACTCTGTCTCAAAAAAAAAAAAAAAAAAAAAAGAAAAGAAAATAGATCACTGGATTGAAGGGAACCCTAGTGGCCCTGGGGCTGGTTCCTTCCACAGGACCACCCCACTCCCTGTAGACCTGGCTTTGCAGCTCTAGAATTGTCTGTCAGCAGGGATTAGGGCCAGGGGACAAGTGTCAGAAGGTAGGTGTCTAAGGGGAGCAGAAATTCAGATCCAGAACCAGGAGGTTCCGAGGTAATAGATTCAGGGCTAAGGAAAGCCAGAGAACCAGGAAGGCCAGATGGGGGCCCTGGTAGGTCAGGTGGGAAAGTGACACAGCCTGGAATATATCCCAAAGTAGGGCCTGGGACCACCTGCTGTGTATGCCCTGGAAGCCAGCATTTTCCTGTGGGCTGATACTGTAAAAGAGCAAGACCATTAAGGCAAATTTTAGATTGCATTTTGATCTTTTGGAGCCGTCTCTGTTTTCCCTAGGCCCCTGCCTGGGGTTATTTATTTATTTATTTTATTTTTTTAGAGGCGGAATCTTGCTCTGTCGGCAAGGCTGGAGTGCAGTGGCGTGATATCGGCTCACTGCAACCTCCGCCTCCCAGGTTCAAGCGATTCTCCTGCCTCAGCCTCCAGAGTAGCTGGGATTACGGGTGTGTGCCACCACACCCAGTTAATTTTTTTTTGTATTTTTAGTAGAGGTGGGGTTTCACCATGTTAGCCAGGATGGTCTCAATCTCATGACCTCATGATCCTCCCGCCTCAGCCTCCCAAAGTGCTGGGATTACAGGCGTAAGCCACGGTGCCTGGACTTGCCTGGGGTTATTCTTGTAACTACATAGCTTTCTAGATCAATTGAACTCTTCCAAGGGCAAGGGTTTTGGATCCCTCTCTGTATAAGACAAACTGGGCCGGATGCAGTGGTTCATGACTGTAATCCCAGCACTTTTTGAGAGGCTGGGGTGGGAGGATCGCTTGAGCCCAAGGTGCAGAGAGCTATGATCTTGCCACCGCACTCCAGCCTGGGCAACAGAATGAGAGCCTATCTCTAAAAATAAAAATAAAAAAAGAGAAACTGGTCCTGTTTTTCCATGCTATGAAATTCCCAAGTGACCTGAATTCCAACAAAAATGGATACCGCTGAAAGACCAATAAAGTTTTTTTCTTGAACAAGAGAAATAAGCTTTCTCCCTACTTCCTTTTTTTTTTTTTTTTTTGAGACAGAGTTTCATTCTTGTCACCCAGGCTGGAGTGCAATGGCACGATCTCGGCTCATCACAACCTCCATCTCCCGGGTTCAAGTGATTCTCCTGCGTCAGCCTCTTGAGTAGCTGAAATTACAGGCATGAGCCACCATGCCCGGCTAATTTTTGTATTTTTAATAGAGACGGGGTTGGTTTCTCCATGTTGGTCAGGCTTGTCTCAAACTCCCGACCTCAGGTGATCTGCCCACCTCAGCCTCCCAAAGTGCTGGGATTACAGGCGTGAGTCACCGTGCCCAGCCTCTATCTACTTCTATATATCATTTGTCTTTGTCCACCACCTTTGCCTACAAAGTCAGGTTAACAATAAGCCTTAGCACTGATCAACTACTAGTTTCCAGGCACTGGGCTGGGTACTGGGATCCCGTGAACGTTGGAATCCAAATCAGTGGACGGGAATTGTGGAAATATGAAGTGCTAAGTGGAGATTGCAAGAGATGCATTTTTTTTTTTTTTTTTGAGACGGAGTCTCGCTCTTTCGCCCAGGCTGGAGTGCAGTGGCACGATCTCTGCTCACTGCAAGCTCCACCTCCTGGGTTCACGCCATTCTCCTGCCTCAGCCTCCCAAGTAGCTGGGACTACAGGTGCCCGCCACCACGCCCAGCTAATTTTTTGTATTTTTAGTAGAGACAGGGTTTCACTGTGTTAGCCAGGATGGTCTTGATCTCCTGACCTGGTGATCTGCCCGCCTCGGCCTCCGAAAGTGCTGGGATTACAGGCGTGAGCCACCGCACCCGGGCAGGAGATGCATTTTGTTTTATTTTACATTTGAGGGGAGAGGAGGGAATCCATGAACCTTCTGAAATGATGAACAAAATTGTGTTTCCTCGTCATTTCTGGGAAGAGAGTTCCTCGCTTCCACTAGCTCCTCGGAGGGGTCTGTGACTCCCAGCCTAAGTATGGTGGTAAGTACTGTGAGAACAGCAGTTGCATTTGAGGGAGACCTTTGAAATATAGGGAGGACATTACTATTCCATTAACTCATTAATATTACAGTAATTTCAGTAATCATCATTCCTCTTCATCAGTGGCCTTACGATCTTTGGTAGAACCATAGCTTTTTTGACAAAAATAAAAAAGGTCACAACAGCTGGGCGCAGTGGCTCACACCTGAAATCCCAGCAATTTGGGAGGCCAAGGCAGGAGGATTGCTTGAGCCCAGGAGTTTGAGACCAGTCTGGGCAACATAGCGAAGCCTCATCTCTAAAAAAGTTTTTAAAAATGGCCAGGGGTGGTAGCTCATGCCTGTAATCTCAGCACTTTGGAAGGCTGAGACAGGCGGATCACGAGGTCAGGAGTTCGAGACCAGCCTGGCCAACATATTGAAACCTTGTCTCTACTAAAAATACAAAAAATTAGCTGGGCGTGGTGGCGAGCACCTGTAATTCCATCTATTTGGGAGGCTGAGGCAGGAGAATCACTTGAACATGGCAGGCAGAGGTTGCAGTGAGCCACGATCGCGCCATTGCACTCCAGCCTGGGAGACAAGAGTAAAACTCTGTCTCAAAAAAAAAAAAAAAAAAAAAAAGCTGGGAAGGTGGCACATGGCTGTGGTCCTAACTACCAGGAGACTGAAGTGGGAGGATGGCTTGAGCCCCGGGAGGTTGAGGTTGTAGTGAGCTGTGATCATGCCACTGCACTCCAGCCTGGGTGACAGAGTGAGACCCTGTCTCAAAAAAAAAAAAAAAAAAGGAAAAAGAAAAGAAAAAAAAGGTCACAAGGAATTCCTGTCATGGTTTTGGCACTTTTGTGTTTGATTTCAGAAGGAGTGAATTAATGATTTCACGCCTTCATTAAATGAAGAACACGCCATAGAGTCCACCATAGTTTAGAAACCCACTCAGCCTCCAGGCCTCTGAGTGGCGCTGCTGTCCCCTCTCCCAGGGCTGCTACCCATGCGGCTCTGCAGTTAGGCTCAGAAAAGATCTCAAACCGGCCGGGCGCGGTGGCTCACGCCTGTAATCCCGGCACTTTGGGAGGCCGCGGCGGGCGGATCACGAGGTCAGGAGATCGAGACCATCCTGCCTAACACGGTGAAACCCCATCTCTACTAAAAATACAAAAAATTAGCGGGGCGTGGTGGGGGGCGCCTGTAGTCCCAGCTACTCAGGAGGCTGAGGCAGGAGAAGGGCGTGAACCCGGGAGGCGGAGGTTGCGGTGAGCCGAGATCGCGCCACTGCACTCCAGCCTAGGCAACGA
The DNA here is from genome assembly GCF_000001405.40 of Homo sapiens. Taxonomy (NCBI): domain Eukaryota; kingdom Metazoa; phylum Chordata; class Mammalia; order Primates; family Hominidae; genus Homo; species Homo sapiens. The sequence continues at coordinate 13,363,104 of NC_000010.11, forward strand.
AGCAAGTCTCCGTCTCAAAAAACAAAAAACAAAAAGATCTCACACCACTGCGCGGTGGCAGAACGGAGGCAGGAGACAGGACTTGAACTCAGTCTAGACAGCAACGCAAGGGGGCATCTATGCGATTGACCATGGCCGGAAGCACACCTCCATGCGATGCGGTGAGGGGAGTATGCGCCACTGAAATATAATCAATCAGAAGATGCTTTCCAAGATTCTAGCTCTGCAGCTCCCTGAACGTAGCCACATTCCACCAAAATCCCACCGTGCCTGTCATGGTGTTTGCCCAGTGAATTCTGCATTTTTAACCCCCCCAAAATGATTCCTTTTGTGTATAAAATGAAGATTTCCTTGCACCCAGAGAATATCAAAGGCTACAAAATTATTGTTTCTTGGCCGGGCGTGGTGGCTCATGCCTGTAATCTCAGCACTTTGGGATGCCGAGGTGGGCGGATCACTTGAGGTCAGGAGTTTGAGACTAGCCTGGCAAACATGGTGAAACCCCTTCTCTCCTAAAAGTACAAAAATTAGCCGGGCACGGTGGTGTGTGCCTGTAATCCCAGCTGCTCAGGAGGCTGACGCTGGAGAGTCGCCTGAATCTGGGAGGCGGAGGTTGCAGTGAGCTGAGATCGCGCCACTGCACTCCAGTCTGGGTGAGGGAGCGAGACTCCGTCTCAAAAAAGAAAAACAAAATAAAAATTGTTTCCCCCTTTTTTGATAGGTGAAAGATAATATTGAAAAACACCTGGTTTATTTTCTTTGATTGCATTTTCATCGACTCCACCCCCGCCCCGTCCTGCCTCCACTAATTAAAATGAGTGAAATCTTGCACATCGTTTCAGAAAGTGCAGATGCCCCTCTTCTAAATGAGATCTTGGTAGCCACCCACTTCTGGTTATTATCTAAGTCCAAGTCCTTTCTTTTGAGACCGGGTCTCATTCTGTGGCCCAGGATGGAGTGCAGTAGCACCATCATAGCTCACTGCGGCCTTGAACTCCTGGGATCAAGTGATACTCTCACCTCAGCCTCATGAGTAGCTGGGACTACAGTTGCACGCCACCATGCCCAGCTACTTTAAAAAAAATTTCTGGCCGGGCGCGGTGGTTCACGCCTGTAATCCCGGCACTTTGGGAGGCCGAGGCCGGCGGTCACGAGATCAGGAGATTGAGACCATCCTGGCTAAAACGGTGAAACCCCGTCTCTACTAAAAATACAAAAAATTAGCGGGGCGTGGTGGCAGGCGCCTGTAGTCCCAGCTACTCGGGAGGCTGAGGCAGGAGAATGGTGTGAACCCGGAAGGCGGAGCTTGCAGTGAGCTGAAATCACGCCACTGCACTCCAGCCTGGGTGACAGAGCGAGACTCCGTCTCAAAAAAAAAAAAAATTCTGTAGAGATGGAGTTTTGCTTTGCCACTCAGGCTGATCTCGAATTCCTGGGCTCAAGCAATTCTCCCGCCTTGGCCTCCCTGAATGCTGGGATTATAGGCGTGAGCCACCGTGCCCAGCCTAAATGAAAAGTCATGATCACCTCGGTCTAGATGCATCCTCCACATTTTTCTTTTTCTTTCTTTCTTTTTTTTTTCTTTTTTTTTTTTTGAGACAGAGTCTTGTTCCATCATCCAGGCTGGAGTGCAGTGGCACGATTTCGGCTCATTGCAACCTCAGTCTCCTGGTTTCAAGCGATCCTCCTACCTCACCCTCCCGAGTAGCTGGGACTACAGGCACGTACCACCACACCTGGCTAATTTTTGTATTTTTAGTAGAGATGGGGTTTCACCATGTTGGCCAGGCTTGTCTTGAACTCCTGGTTTCATGTGATCCTCCCGCCTGTGCCTCCCAACGTGCTGGGGTTACAGGCGTGAGTTATGCACCAGCCTCTTCACGTTTTTCAGAATGAAATTGTGATAGGCTCTTCTTTGTCCCCCAGTGTTGGAGACTATCTGCATGTGGTCACATTGTATTGAATGATGATTGTTAGCATCCAGCTCCCACCTCGTGTTTATTGGGTAGGGGAGGGGAAGAAAGAGGGAAAAGTAAGGAGGAGAGAGATGCAGAGAAAATAGTTTGAAAAGACAAGTATATGTGGATGTATGTTTCAGGCTGACTTCCTGCTCTAAGAAATTCTTGAATAAAAATGGAATCCAGAACTAAGTCCTCAGTTAACTAGAGTTCATTGTTCTCCAAGCAAGGGAGCAGCTATTTCTCCACATTCTTTGTCTCCAATGTTTAATCCATGGCAGACTTTACCCTTTGCCCCATGATTACCGTCTTCCTCAATTATTTCCTCTGGTTAGAGGCCACTTGGGAAAATAATTACAACGTGAGTTCATCCCACCCAACTGTGACTGTCCTTGTTGGATACTTTCTCTGTCAGCAGTGTCGCCAGCCCTTATGCTGAACATGGTTCAGGAGTAGACTCGACTCCAGGGACTCCAGACTCAAAGTTGTATACAGACTGGATGCAAGATGAGGATAAGAGGGGCTGGGTGCAGTGGCTCACACCTGTAATCCCAGCACTTTGGGATGCCGAGGAGGGTGGATCACTTGAGGCCATGAGTTTGAGACTAGCCTGGCCAACATGGTGAACCCCCATCTCTACAAAAAATACAAAAATTAGCCGGGCCTGGTGGCTGGTGCCTGTAATCCCAGCTACTCTGGAGGCTGAGGCAGAAGAATTTCTTGAACCCGGGAGGCGGAGGTTGCAGTGAGCCGAGATCTGGCCACTGCTCTTTAACCTGGGTGATAGAGTGAAACGCTGTCCAAAAGAAAAAAGAAAAAAGATGAGGATAATAAATAAATAATGGTGGAAGGAAAAAAATAGATTTCAACTCTCTCAGAGCTCCCACATCTGGATTGCAGGGACCATTTCTCATTTTGGATGTTGTTCAGGTTTGACCTCCTTGGCTGGAATTTCTCCGAGCACAGCCAGTCCTCCATCCTATGAGGTGCTCTGTATTCTTTAAAGAGAGCGAGGGGAATGTTTCTATTTCAATGCTTAGCAGGGGGGTCCAAGCAGCAGATGTGTTGTTGTACTTGAGCATGAAGATCCTTTCCACGCTGAAGATTCTGTGATTCATTTGGTGCGGGGTGGGGGGCGCCCCTGACCATTTGTTGGTGGTGATTTCCTCAGCTCAGTCTGGCTTCTTGTTGATTCTGCTTTTCTGAATATTACTCAACTCCATCCACATTTGTCCTTCTCCACGAATTTAACCTTCATTCACATTCCATTTGTCTGAATGACCAGCAGTGGTCTCCTAACTGAAGTCTCTGCTTCCCTACTCTACCTATCCTCTTACGCCTCTGCCCCAAGATACCATCCCGAAGCACAGCTCAGATAAAGCCACACCCAAGTCTGAAAACCTGGAGGTGCCCCGCCCCAACCCTTTTTTATCTTTTCTTTTTTGAAGTGGAGTCTCACTCTGTTGCCCAGGCTGGAGTGCAGTAGCCCAATCTCAGCTCAATGCAACCTCCGCCTCCTGGGTTCAAGTGATTCCCCTGCCTCAGCCTCCCAAGTAGCTGGGATTATAGGCGCGCACCACCGTGCCTGACTAATTTTTCTATTTTTAGTAGAGATGGGGTTTCACCATGTTGGCCAGGCTTGTCTCAAACTCCTGACCTCAAGTGATCCACCTGCCTGAGCCTCCCAAAGTGTTGGGATTACAGGCATGAGCCACCGTGCTTGGCCTTCTTTTTTTTTTTCTTTTTTGAAGCAGAATCTTGCTCTGTCACCCAGGCTGGAGTGCAGTGGCGCAATCTCGGCTCACTGCAACCTCCACCTCCTGGATTCAAGTAATTCTCCTGCCTCAGCCTCCCAAGCAGCTGGGATTACAGGGGCGCACCACCATGCCCAGCTAATTTTTTGTATTTTTAGTAGGGTTGGGGTTTCACCATGTTGGTCACACTGGTCTCAAACTGCCCCCATTCCTTGAGCCCAAGTAACCAAGCTCGGCCAGTGGTGAAGTACGTGTTAACGGCCTTGTCATTAACCCATTGTCAAGACTCCAAGAACCCTCCCCCTGGCTGGTGAAAGAAAGTCCTGCCTTTTGCAATGCCTCCTGCTCTGAAATTCCTGTAAATGCCAAGGTGCTTCCATGTCCCAAAAATCAAACTTAGTTATGGCTCACCAATACTCTCATTATCACCCTTGAAATGTGAAAGGTGGGCCAGGTGTGGTGGTTTATGCCTGTAATCATAGCACTTTGGGAGGCCGAGGTGGGTGGATCACCTGAGGTCAGGAGTTCGAGACCAGCCTGACCAACATGGTGAAACCATGTGTCTACTAAAAATACAAAAATTAGCTGGGCGTGGTGGCACGCTCCTGTAATTCCAGCTACTCAGGAGGCTGAGGCAGGAGAATCGCTTGAACCCTGGAGGTGGAGGTTGCAGTGAGCTGAGATTGCAGCACTGCACTCCAGCATGGGCGACAGAGTGAGACTCCATCTCAAAAAAGAAAAAAAAAAAAAAGAAATGTGAAAGGTGAATGCCAGAGACTCAAAGACGTCAAGAACAACCAGCATCTCTTCCAGTTTTTTTTGAGATTTTGTGCTTTAATTAATCAATTAATTATTTTTAGAGAAAGGGTCTTGTTCTGTTGCACAGGCTGGGTACAGTGGTGTAATCATAACCCATTTTTATCTCAAACTCCTTCCTTCGCTCAAGTGGTCCTGTCTCAGCCTCCTGAGGAGCTGGGACTACAGGTGCACACCACCTTACCTAGCTAAATTATTTTTATTTTTCTTAATAGAGACAGGGTCTCTCTGTGTTGCTTAGGCTGGTCTCAAACTCCTGGCCTCAAGTGGTCCTCCTCTCTTTTTAATTAAAAAAAATTAAAACTGCCAACGATTACAAACATAAGCGGTATAGTTAAAGCGTATATGTCTAATAATTTAATGCTTTTCATACACACACATGCAAATCAGTGCAATATAATTATGCTGTTTACAAGACAATTAGGAGTCTTATAATAAAAGTACACCTTTGCATTTCAAAAATATGAGACTTTGACTTCAGAGGGAGAAGAATTTTTTCTTTTCTTGTTTTTTTTGAGACAGAGTCTCAAAAAGAGTGCAGTGGCAAGATCTCGGCTCACTTGCAAATTCTGCCTCCCAGGTTCAAGCGATTCTCCTGCCTTTGCCTCCTGAGTAGCTAGGATTACAGACATGCACCACTACACCCAGCTAATTTTTGGAAATTTAGTGGAGACGGGGTTTCACCATGTTGGTCAGGCTGGTCTCAAACTCCTGACTTCAGGTGATCGGCCTGCCTCAGCCTCCCAAAGTGCTGGGATTACAGGCTTGAGCCGCCGCACTAGGCCTGTGAAAGATTTCTTAAGATACAAAAAGCACAAATCAGAAGGAAAAATTTTGATAAACTTGACTCTATTAAAGCTTACACTTTTTGTGTAATAAAGAGGTACTTAAACCACATTAAAAGACAAGCCAGACCAGGCACCGTGGCTGAAGTCTGTAATCTGAGCACTTTAGGAGGCCAATGTGGGCTGATCGTTTGAGCTCAGGAGTTCGAGGTTGGCCTGGCAAACATGGTGAAACCCCATCTCTACAAAAAATGACAGAAAAGTTACCCAGACATGGTAGTGCACGCCTGTAGTTCCAGCTATTGGGGAGGTTGAAATGGGAGTATTACTGAAGCCTGAAAGCCAAGGCTGCAGTGAGCCAAGATTGTACCACTGCACTCCAGCTTGGGTGACAGAGCAAGGCCCTGTCTCGAAAAAAAAAAAAAAAGACAAGCCACAGAATGAGAGTAGATAGTCACACTGCATATAATCAACAAAGGAGGAACACTTTCTAGAATATGTAAAGAACTAAAAATCAATAAAAATATATCCAATCAAAAAATAACAAAGTTATGAACAGGGAATTCACAAAAGAAGCCATCTAAGTTGCGAATAAATACATGAGGCAGAGCACGGTGGCTCACGCCTGTAATCCCAGCACACTGGGAGACAGAGCGGGGTGGATCACCTGAGGCTGGGAGTTCAAGACTAGCCTGACCAACATGGAAAAACCCTGTCTCTACTAAAAATACAAAATTAGCCAGGTGTGGTGGCACACGCCTATAATCCCACTTACTTGGGAGGCTGAGGCAGGAGAATAGCTTGAACCCCGGAGGCAGAGGTTGCAGTGAGCCGAGATTGTGCCATTGGACTTCAGCCTGGTCAACAAGAGTGAAACTCTGTCTCTAAATAAATAAATAAATACACGAAAAGATGCTCAACCTCACCAGTAATCAGGAGAATGCAAATTAAAGCTAGATATCACTTTACAGCCACTGCACTGGCAAAAATTAAGTCCAGTGAGTCTTGATCACATATTGTGAGGAACATGGGGAAATCAGAGGTCTCTTATGCTCAGGGCAGGACTGTACATCAGTAAAGCTGTTTTGGAGGGCAATTGGATACTTTCTAGTAGAGGTGAAGACACATATATCCTCTGATTCATTAGTGCCGCTTCTAGGTGGATGTTCGTGCACAGAGTTGCATACGAAGATGTTTGTAATAGCAAATAATCGGAAATAAATGTTCATTGAAAAAGGAGTAGAAGGCCGGGCATGGTGGCTCACGCCTGAAATCCCAGCCCTTTGGGAGGCCAAGGCTGGTGGATCACTTGAGATCAGGAGTTCAAGACCAGCCTGACCAACATGGAGAAACCCCGTCTCTACTAAAAATACAAAATTAGCCGGGCGTGGTGGCGGGCACCTGTAATCCCAGCTACTTGGGAGGCTGATGCAGGAGAATTGCTTGAACCTGGGAGGCGGAGGTTGCGGTGAGCCAAGATCACAGCACTGCACTCCAGCCTGGGCAACAAGAACGAAAGTCTGTCTCAAAAACAAAAAAACAAAAAAACAAAAAACAAAAACAAAAAAAGGAGTAGAAAAAATAAATGTTGCACATTCATATCACAGAATACTATATAGCAGTCAAAATTATGAAGCAACTCTAAATGTATCAGCATAAAGGAACCTTAAAACGATGTTAAGGAAGCTGTTTAATAAGTTTGGAGTTTCAATTTAGGATAATGAAAAAGTCCTGGAGATCGGTGGTGGTGATGGTAGCCCAATAGTGTGAATGTACTTAATGCTACCGAACTGTACGCTTAACATGGTTAAAACGGTATTTTTTTTTTTTGAGGCGGAGTTTCACTCTTGTTGCCCAGGCTGGAGTGCAGTGGCGTGATCTCAGCTCACGGCAACCTCTGCCTCCCAGGTTGAAGTGATTCTCCTGCCTCAGCCTCCCAAGTAGCTGGGATTACAGGCATGCACCACCACGCCTGGCTAGTTTTGTATTTTTAGTAGAGACGGGGTTTCTCCATGTTGGCCAGGCTGGTCTTGAACTCCCGACCTCAGGTGATCTGCCCTCCTCAGCCTTCCAAAGTGCTGGGATAACAGGCGTGAACTACTGTGCCTGGCCTAAAATGGTAAATTTTATGCTGTGTATATTTTACTATAATTAAAAAGCATAGTGTTAAGTGAACAGAACAAGTGCAAGATAAAATGCATTATATGATGCCGTTCGTGAAATCTGAAAACACTAAATAATAATACTACTACATACTTACTGAATGTGTTTATCTATGACCAGAATGAGAAGGACTCACATAAAATGCATGATATTCTGACTTTTGGGAGGGAGGGAGAAAAGCCAGAAGTAGAGGTTATGCTTGAACTTCATAACATTTTATTTATATTTATTTATTTATTTATTTACTTAAGATAGAGTCTCACTCTGTCGCCCAGGCTGGAGTGCAGTGGCGCGATCTCGGCTCACCGCAACCTCTCTCTCCTGGATTCAAGCGATCCTCCAGCCTCAGCCTCCCGAGTAGCTGGGACCACAGACGCCTACCACCATGCCTGGCTAATTTTTGTCTTTTTAGTAGAGACGAGGTTTCGCCATGTTGGCCAGGCTGCTTGAACTCCTGACCTCAGGTGATTTGCCCGTGTCGATCTCCCAAAATGCTGGGGTTACAGGCGTGAACCACTTCGCCCAGCACACATTTTATTTGTTTTAAAAAACTAAGAAAGGCTGGGCACCCATGCCTCTAATCCCAGCAGTTTGGGAGGCTGAGTTGGGAGCATTGCTTGAGCTCAGGAGTTCATGACCAACCTGGGCAACACAGGAAGACCCCATCATTATTTAAAAAAAAAAAAAAAAAGAAAGTATTTTAAGACCAGGCCTGATGGCTCATGCCTATCATACCAACACTTCGGGAGGCTGAGGTGGGGAATCACTTGAGTCCAGGATTTCGAGACCCACCTGGGCAACACAGAAAAACCACATCTCTACAAAAAAATTTAAAAATTAGCTGGACATTTTGGTGTGCACCGATAGTCCCAGCAGTCAGAAGGCTGAGATGGGAGAATCACTTGATCCCAGGAGATCAAGGTTGCAGTGAGGTATGACTGTGCTACTACACTGCAGCCTAGGTGACAGAGCAAGACCCTGTCTAAAAAAAAATACAACAAAAAAAAGAAGTGTAAAGGACAGAGTGTTGAGACACAGCAATGATATCCTCCCCTGTTCTAGATGGGAAAAGACAGAAACTTATATAAGGTGAAGGAGAGAAATAAGTACAGTTTCACAGAACCTGGGGGAAAAGTATGTTTCTGTAAGAATGGAGTTATAAACAGCTTCGAAAGCCAAGTAGACAGGTGACTGGCAAAAGGTCACCATGACTGTGAGGTTTATTGTGGAAAATATACACAAAGTGGATAATCCTGAGAACAAAGAAAACACCCTGCCTTGCAAGGTCTCCCATGAAAAGCACCTCTTAGAATTTGAGGCTTGGTTGATATGTGAACTTTGTCACTTGATTGATTTAGAATGGCATTTCTCAATCTGGAGACTGCAGACATATTTAGACGAGATTCCCCTCCCCGCTCTTTAAAAAAGTCTGTGTATTAATCCAGATGAGACCTGTGGGTTTTGTGCAGATCCCCACTATGGCCGGTAGGAGGCAGCATAACCTAATGCTCTGAGTCAGGATCCTGTTGCTGGAGTCTGTGCTCTGGCCCAGGGGAGGAGGAGCAGCTCATCAGCTCTGTGCTTCTGTTTCTTTCTCTATATCCTGCAAAAGGCAGGAATTAACAGAGCTAAACACTCTCAAAATATTAAATGCTGTGGGGGCGCCAGGCATCACTGCAGAAACCACAGCTGAATATAACACTATTCTCCCTGCTGCTCTCTGGCCCTAGGATCAGAAAAGCTCAACACTTTTTATTTTTTTAAATAGATAAATAAATTTATTTTGAGACAGAGTCTCAACTCTGTCTCCAACTTTTATTTTCGATTCAGGATGTATATGTTCAGGTTTAGTATATTTCCATGATCCTGAGGTTTGGGGTACGATTGATCCTATCACCCAGGTACTGAGCATATCACCCAACAGGTGGGTTTTCAGCCCTTATCTCCTTGCCTCCTCCCTCCTTTCCCCCTTTTGGAGTCCTTAGTGTCTACTGTTCCCATCTTTATGTCCATGTGTACCCAAAGTTCAGCTCCCACTTATAAGTGAGAACATGCAGTATTTGATTTTCTGTTTCTGTGTTAATTCGCTTAGGATAATGGCCTCCAGATGCGACTTTGTTGCTGCAAAGGACGGGAGCTTGTTCTTTTTTATGGCTGTATAGTATTCCACGGTGTATATACACCACATTTTCTTTATTCAATCCACTGTTGATGGGTACCTAGATGATCCCACGTCAAAAATGTTACATTCAGCTGTGGCTCACATTATATTTCTATTGGACAGAGATTATATTTCTATTGGACAAAGCTGCTCTGAGCTATTAATAAGCAGGAAGTGTGTTGTGCATCTCTAAGAGGAGGTCATAGTAGGCAGGCAAGGTTTGGAAACACATTTGACCACAGAAGCATTTTTCACATAATATCTGGTTATCTATTTATTCTCCTTTATGGGGTTGCAAAACAAAATCATGTCCATTAATTTCCTTGATCTGCTTCGAGTCCCATTTAGTGGATGTCTACCCAGAAGTATGCTTCCCAAAGAAGTTAATTTTTTGTATGTGTGTCAGAGTCTCACTCTGTCACCTAGGCTGGAGTACAATGGCGCGATCTTGGCTCACTACAACCTCTGCCTCCCGGGTTCAAGCAATTCTCCTGCCTCAGCCTCCCAAGCAGCTGGGATTACAGGCACCTGCCGCCACGCCCAGCTAATTTTTGTATTTTTAGTAGAGACGGGATTTCATCATATTGGCCAGATTGGTCTCTTGGCCAGGCTGGTCTCGAACTCCTGACCTTGTGATCTGCCCTCCTCGGCCTCCCAAAGTGCTGAGATTACAGGCGTGAGCCACTGTGCTTGGCCTAGAAGTTAATTTATTGAAACAAATCAATGGAGGCTCTGCAAAGAAGCCCCTCATTGTTCTGATAGCTGTAACATGATGAAGACCGGCAGAAGCATCCTTCATGCAGCTGTCCACTGTGCAAGTGGTTTTAGCAAAACCAAAATGAAAGTACATTTTATCATTTCATTGTATCCCAGAGAATCATAGAAATTGAGATTTGAAAGGTATCTAATCCAATACCCCCAAGTCATATTCTTGATTGGGAACCAAACACCCAGCTGCCAATACTATGTCAAATGTTTATTGAGCATCCACTATGCTCCAGACACTTGTTTTACACTCACCAACAAACTTACCAAGCTGATTCTATAATGATCAGTACAATTTTGTAGGTATTAGGAAGATCAGAGAGGTTGGACCACCTCTTTGAGGTCACACAGCTGGATGGAGGCGCTAGCATGCTTCTCCACTATGTTCTGCTGCCACTGGGAAGCGAAGAGACTTGCAAACATACCAGGTATATTAATAATATTCCAGCCACTACAAATAGCAATGTACAGTGTTTGCACTAGACCAATGACAGTGGTAATACAGTGAAAAGAGTAATCATTTTTACCAGTTTCAGAGTACTAAGACAATAATGTGGAAATGAAAAAACTGCCAGGCTCAGTGGCTCATGCCTTTAATCCCAGCATTTCAGGAGGCCAGGGTGGGAGGATCCCTTGAGGCCAGAGTTCAAGACCAGCCTGGGCAACATAGCAAGACCTCATCTCTACAGAAAAAATTTTAAACTTAGCCAGGCATGCAGTGTGTGCCTGGGATCCTAACTGCTCAGGAGGCTGACCTGGGAGGATGGCTTGAGCGCAGGAAGTCGAGGCTATAGTGAGCTATGGTGGTGCCACTGCACTCCAGCCTGGCAGCCTGGGTGACAGAGCGAGGCCAGTTTCTAAAAGAAAAATATTGAAAAAAATGAAATAAAAAGTCTTGGGCAGGGCGTGGTGGCTCATGCCTGTAATCCCAGCGCTTTGGGAGGCCAAGGTGGGCGGATCACTTGAAGCCAGGAGTTCGAGGCCAGCCTGGCCAGTATGGTGAAACTGTGTCTCTATTAAAAATATAAAAATTACCCAGTCATGGTGGCAGGTACCTGTAATCCCAGCTACTCGGGAGGCTGAGGCAGGAGAATTGCTTGAACCCGGGAGGTAGAGGTTGCAGTGAGCTGAGATCGCACCATTGCACTCCAACTTTGGCAAGAGAGCGAGACTCCATCTCAAAAAAATAAAAAAATTAAAGAGTTGAAATTTAAGAAATACTTACAGTATTAAAATAAAATGTTCTAATAGCCACATTGAAAAAGTAAAAAGAAACAGATGAAATTAGTTTTAATAATACATGTTATTTAACCCAATACACTCCAAATAGTCTCATTTCAATGTGTAAGTAACATTTTTTAAATGGTTAAAAATGTCTTATTAGGTCTTTTAAATACGATGCAAATTTTACACCTAAGAGCTCATCTCAAGTGCTCAGTACCTATATGTGCCTAATGGCTGCTGTATTGGATGGTGTAGGCTCAGAGATTAAATACTGCAAGGAAACCCCAAATAGAACCTGAGAAGTCATCACGAAGTTACAGGGAAAATAATGGAAATGAGCAGAGGATACAATTGGGTTAATATAAAGGCCGAGATGTTAGAAGACAGCCTGTCCAGGAAAAGGCTTAGCTGACAGCACAGTTAGGTTAGATTAAAATGGACTCTGTTGCTGGGCACAGTGGCTCACGCCTGTAATCCCAGCACTTTGGGAGGCCGAGGTGGGCAGATCACAAGGTCAAGAGATCGAGACCATCCTGGCCAACATGGTGAAACCCTGTCTCTACTAAAAATACAAAAATTAGCTGGGCGTGGTGGCACTCATCTGTAGTCCCAGCTAGTCGGGAGGCTGAGGCAGGAGAATTGCTTGAACCCGGGAGGTGGAGGTTGCAGTGAGCCAAGATCGTGCCACTGCACTCCAGCCTGGGTGACAGAGCAAGACTCCATCTCAAAAAAAAAAAAAAGGTGGGGGGGCTCTATTATGCAAAAATGAAAGCTCACTGAGTTAATGACTGTTCCCAGCATTTCTCTTAATACTCCAGGCAGGGATCAGGAGAGACACTTGCGGTCTAGGCCAGGAGGTGGTTTGGTCTTGTGTTTATTTGTTGCTTTGAATTCTAGTTGAGTTGTTGCCGCTGTGTGTTTATAGGATGAGGCTGTGGAGAGTTTAGCCATTTTTTTTTTCAACTGCAAATGATGTGTGTCTATATGTACATGTGTGTATATAGAGTTTTTGTTTTTGTTGTTGTTTTTGTTTTTTGTTTGTTTTTTAAGAGACTGGGTCTTGCTCTGTTTCCCAAGCTGGAGGGCAGTGGTATGATCATAGCTCACTGCAACCTTGACCTCCTGGGCTCAAGTGACCCTCCCACGTCAGCCTTCTGAGTAGCTGGGACTATAGGTGTGAACCACCACACCTGGCTAATTTTTAACATTTTTTGTAGAGATAGGGTCTTGCTATGTTGTCCAGGCTGATCTCAAACTCCTAGGCTCAAGCAATCCTCCCACCTTGGCCTCCCAAAGTGCTGGCATTACTGGCATGAGCTACTGTGCCAAGCCTGCAAATGATGTATGTTAACAGTAACAACTTCTCAGACTCTTTAGCGAGAGATAATTTTAGCTCCCTGCCCCATTCTAATTCACTGGTTTCCAAACTTGTCACTGTGTCTTCATGCTGACATTCTAGGCACTCCTCGTCTCGGCTCCCCTATCTTTATTTCATCTTTGGGCTAGCTTTCCTCCCCCAGACAGAAGCAGCCTGGATGCTCTGCCTGTAGCTCTTATTAAACAGGCTTGAAATACCTGGTCCCCTCTTAACCTGCTCTGAAATATTTCTTCTTACACACCTCTGTAAAAGCATTTTACGATCCCCCATATTAATCCCTGTTTTTTTTTTTTTTTGTCAGCGCTGCATAATTGTACCATGAGCCACGATCCTAAGTCAAGAGACCTTTCTCTCACCAGTGCAGATGATTGCTCCCTCCAGGTGTGTAGGAGGGAGGATGGCATGGCTTTCATCAAACCGTGAGCTTTTTCAGAACTTCCAACCCACCATAAAGCTCATCTGAAGAATGTTTGCTTTTCCCTGTCAAATATTTCTCTGATCCAAAGTCTGTTAACAATTTAAACGTCAAATCCCCCTCTAAGGTTACTGAACGGGTATCTCTTTTTGTTATGAAGTGAAGGTGTGTAATTATTCCAGCCAGGTTCGAAGTCACCTGATCTGAGCTGGTCTTTCTCCTGGGGATGCTCTGTGAGTATTAAATTCCCAAGTTCCCTTCCCAAGCTGGCAGTGCGACATAACCAAACAGCTATCCGATAGCTGCTTTTGGAAGGCAGCAAACTTCTGCCAGGCTTAGAGGAACCTGTTTCACGCAAACATGCGCAGCTTATGGGGGATCATCTTGGGACTAGTGTGCAGGCCCAGGCAATTGAGTAAGAACTACGTACTTTCAATAACTTTTTGACGACTAAGCCTTTCTTCTTGAAGCCAGGATTTCTCTTATCTTTTCCCTTTCTTAGCTGCAAGAAAAGCATGTACATATTTTGTTGTTTGCAACCTTTCAAAAGTCCACTTTCTGGTTTTTGGTGCCTGAAACAACTTTTTTTTTTCTTTTCTTTTCTTTTCTTTTTTTTTTGTTTGGGATGGAGTCTTGCTCTGTCACCCAGGCTGGAATGTGGTGGCACGATTTCGGCTCACTGCAACCTCTACCACCTGGGTTCAAGCAATTCTCCTGCCTCAGCCTCCCTGGTAGCTGGGACTACAAGCATGTGCCACCACGCCTTGGTAATTTTTGTATTTTTAGTAGAGATGGGGTTTCACCATGTTGGCCAGGCTGGTCTTGAACTCCTGACCTCAAATGATCCACCCGCCTCAGCCTCCCAAAGTGCTGGGATTACAGGTGTGAGCCACCGTGCCCGGCTTGACTTTTTTTTCTTTTCTTTTTTTTTTTTGAGACAGAGTCTTGCTCTGTTGCCCAGGCTTTAGTGCAGTGGCACGATCTTGGCTCACTGCAACCTCTGCCTCCCTCGTTCAAGCGATTCTTGTGCCTCACCCTCCACCGAGTAGCTAGGATTACAGGTGCCCACCACCATGCCTAACTAATTTTTATATTTTTTAGTAGAGATAGGGTTTCACCATGTTGCCCAGGCTGGTCTTGAACTCATGGCCTCAAGTGATCTGCCCACCTTGGGCTCCCAAAGTGCTGGGATTACAGGCATGAACCACCACGCCTGGCCCTTTCTTTTCTTTTCTTTTCTTTTTTTAAGACAGATACTTGCTCTGTCACCAAGGCTGGAGTGCACTGGCATGATCTTGGCTCACTGCAACCACCGCCTCTCAGGTTCAAGTGATTCTCGTGCCTCAGCCTCCCAAGTAGCTGGGGCTACAGGTGCATGTGCCACCACGTGGCTATTTTTTTTTGTAGTTTTAGTAGAGACAGGGTTTCACCATGTTGGCCAGGTTGGCTTCTGGCCTCAAGTGATCCAATGGCCTCTGCCTCCCAAAGTGCTGGGATTACAGGCGTGAGCCACTGCACCTGGCTCATCTCTATTTTCTTTCGCCAAGAATCCTTTGTAGTACCCAAATTTCATGATGTCATGGGAGTGGAGTTAAATTGGAAGCACTTACATTATATGACCAATTAAAGTCCGCTTTAACTACAATGACTAATAGGTCAATCCTGTTAGTGTAACATTCTGTTCCTGTCAGGAAGTGGTTATATAATGCACAGCGGGACTGGTAGAAATGTTGGGTTTGTTCGTTTCTGGATAGTAAGTAATTAGCTTTAATTTGACTTTAAAAGTATTAGGAGGTGGCCAGGAGCAGTGGCTCACGCCTGTAATCCCAGCACTTTGGGAGGCCAAGGCAGGTGGATCACCTGAGGTCAGGAGTTCGAGACCAGCCTGGACAACATGACGAAACCCTGTCTTTACTAAAAAATACAAAAATTAGCTGGGTGTGGTGGCATGCATCTGTAATCCCAGCTACTCAGGAGGCTGAGGTGGGAGAATTGCTTGAACCTGGGAGGCAGAGCTTGCAGTGAGTACAGATTGTGCCACTGCACTCCAGCCTGGGGGACAGAGCAAGACTCCGTCTCAGAAAAAAAAAAAAAAGATACAATGGTCAATAAATGCATGAAAAGATGTTCAACATCGTTAGTCATTAGAGAAATGACAATCAAAGCCCCACTAAGATACCACTTCATACCCACTAGGATGACTAGAATCAGAAAGACAGACAAAAGCAAGTGCTGGTGAAGACACAAAGAAATTAGAATCCTCATATGTTGTTGTGGTGGATGTAAATGATGTAACCAGTTTGGAAAATAGTTTGACAGTTCCTCAAAAGATTAAAAATAGCATTACCATGTGAACCAGAAATTCCACTCCTAAGGATACAACCAGGAGAAACGAAATATATGTCCACACATATATTTCACATGTATGTCCACACATATATGTACACGAATGTTCCCAGCAGCATTATTCACAACAGCTAAAAGATGGAAACGACACAAATATCCATCAGGTGACAAATGGATAAACAAACGAGTTGTTAGAAATACCATTTGACCCAGCCATCCCATTACTTGGTATATACTCAAAGGATTATAAATCAAGCTGCTATAAAGACACATGCACACATATGTTTATTGTGGCACTATTCACAATAGCAAAGACTTGGAACCAACCCAAATGTCCATCAATGATAGACTGGATTAAGAAAATGTGGCACATATACACCACGGAATACTATGCAGCCATAAAAAAGGATGAGCTCATGTCCTTTGTAGGGACATGGATGATGCTGGAAACCATCATTCTTAGCAAACTATCGCAAGGACAAAAAAACAAACACCGCATGTTCTCACTTATAGGTGGGAATTGAACAATGAGAACACTTGGACACAGGAAGGGGAAAGTCACACACCGGGGCCTGTCATGGGTGTGGGGGGAGGGATAGCATTAGGAGATATACCTAACGTTAAATGAAGAGTTAATGGGTGCAGCACACCAACATGGCACATGTATACATATGTAACAAACCTGCATGTTGTGCACATGTACCCTAGAACTTAAAGTATAATTTTAAAAAAGTATTTTTAAATAAAAGCCCAATAAAAAAACAAAAAAACAAATGAGTTCTATATAACCACACAATAGAATAATACTCAGCCATAAAAAGGAATCAAGTGCTGATCCATGCTACAAAATGGATGAACCTTGAAAACACTATTCTACGTAAAAGAAGCCAGGTGCGAAGGATCATATATTGTGATGCCTTTTCTAGGGCATATCCAGAATAGGCAGATTCCCAGAAACAGAAAATATATTGCTGGTTGCCAGGGGCTGGGAAAGAGGGGAATGGGAATGACTACTATTGGGGACAGAGATTCTTTCGGGGGGTGACAAAAATGTTCTAGAATTATATGGTGGTGATGGTTGCACATCATTGGAATACACTGAAAACCACTGAATTGTGCCCTTTGAAAGGGTGAATTTTATGATATGTATATTATATCTCAAAAGCAATCATAGGGCATAAATTACCTTGATCAGCTTCCTTTCTGAGAGCAAACATTAACTGGGAGGAGAAAGTAAATTCTTCCGGGCACGGTGGCTCACGCCTGTAATCCCAGCACTTTGGCGAGCGGATCAACTGAGGTCGGGAGTTCGAGACCAGCCTGACCAACATGGAGAAACCTCGTCTCTACTAAAAATGCAAAATTAGCCAGGCGTGGTGGCGCATGCCTGTAATCCCAGCTACTCAGGAGGCTGAGGCAGGAGAATCACTTGAACCCAGGAGGCGGAATTTGCAGTGAGCCGAGATTACACCATTGCACTCCATTATGGGCAACAAGAGCAAAACTCCATCTCAAAAAGAAAGAAAGAAAGAAAGAAAATATAGATGAGTGAAGCCTCTGCATGGTCTGGATTCATGTTTGAGGCATGTCCTACACCACCATCCATGGACTCTTGTCAAATTGCTGCTATTGTCAATGAAAACATCCACATGGCCTATGCTCCATCCCAGTGGGAAAAAGATACTCCCTGGCCTAGCGCTATTCCACCTCTAAACATCTGCGATTCCGCAGGTTCTTAGTTTACTTCTGTAGGGAAGTGCTCACATTTGTTTCTTATTGGAACATTTGGGGGAAAAATGTGTATGAGAAGAGCCAAAAGGAACATCAACTTGGGAACACCCTTTTGGAAATGAGGATGGAGCTGTGGCTTAGACTTCAAGGAAGCTGTTGAAACCTAACACAGGATGAGGCCCCCAAAGAAAGCTGGTGGTTGAACCCCAGGATTCGGCAGTCCAGTCACTGCTTACAAGAGTTGCTATTCCTCAGGGCATCTCCTTGCTTCCATTTCTTTCATTTGTCCTTACGGGGATAGTGGGTGAAATCGAGGAGGAGAAACCAAGGGGTCCCCACTGTGAAGGTAAAGAACAGAATTTTTGGCCAGGTGTGGTGGGGGCAGAAGGCAGGAGGATTGCTTAAGCCCAGGAGTTTGAGAGCAGCCTGGGCAACATGGCAAAACCCCATCTATACAAAAAAATACAAAAATGAGCTGGCCATGGTGGCATGCACCTGTATTCCCAGCTGTTTGGGAGGTTGAGGTGGGAGAACCACCTGAGCCTAGGAGGTCAAGGCTGCAGTGATCTGTGATTATGCCACTGCACTCCAGTGTGGGCGACAGATCAATACTGTCCAAAAACAAATAAACAAACAAAAAAGAGAATTTTTTTTTTTTTTTTTTTTTAGAGAGACATTTTCTTGCTCTGTCGCCCTGGCTGGAGTGCAGTGGCATGATCATAGCTCAGTGTAGCCTGGAACCCCTGGCTTCAAGCAATCCTCCCACCTCAGCCTCCCAAGATGCTGGGATTATAGGTGTGAGCCACCGTGCCTGGCCCCAGAATAAATTTTATACCAGAATGTACAGTGGCAAATGCGAGAATGAACTGACGAGGGAAGGAGGGTGAGATTATAGAACTGCAAAGTAATTGAGTCATCTGGAGATCAGATTCAAGAAGGAAAAGGAGGCTGGGTGTGGTGGCTCATGCCTGTAATCCCAGCACTTTGGGAGGCTGAAGTGGGCAGATCACCTGAGGTCAGGAGTTCGAGACCAGCCTGACCAACATGGCAAAACCCCGTCCCTATTAAAAAATACAAAAATTAGCCAGGCGTGGTGGTGGGTGCCTACCCTAATCTTATTATGCAAGTGAATTCTCCCTTTGTCTGGTGCCATCTTTTCTGCTCCTTAGTGTACACGTGGCTGGCAGAGAAGGGAAAATGGATCTGCCATGCTGAACATGTCTAGCTCCTAGTTCCTGCTCGCATTCACCTGTGCAAGCTCCCAATTTGCTTGTCTATGTCTGCAGACTTTACACACTGCTCTTTGTTAGAAAGTGATTTGGGACTGCTTTTCATTAAAAAGAAAAAGCCTTACTGAGGACTTCCATACCCTCACTATCTGCTTAAGTGATTTCTTCCTAACTCCTATATCAATGTCTCTCGTTTTCCGTAAGATAAAAAGGAAACTCCCTAACAAAAAGGGACTTACATAGTTTAGAAAGGACCACCACCATTTAGAAAGGACATTTGGACCAGGTGTGGTGGCTCACGCCTATAATCTCAGTGCTTTGGGAGGCAGGAGGTGAGAAGATCCCTTGAGCCCAGGAGTTTGAGGCTGCAGTAAGCTATGATGGTGCCACTGCACTCCAGCCTGAGCGACAGAGCAAGACACAGTCTCAAAAAAGCCCGGGCGCAGTGGCTCACGCTTGTAATCTCAGCGCTTTGGGAGGCTGAGGTGGGTGAATCACCTGCGGTCAGGAGTTCAAAACCAGCCTGGCCAACATGGTGAAACTCCGTCTCTACTAAAAGTAGAAAAATTAGCCAGGCATGGTGGCATGATCCTGTAATCCTAGCTACTCGGGAGGCTGAGAGACGAGAATGGCTTGAACCCAGGAGGAGGAGGCTGCAGTGAGCCAAGTTTGTGCCACTGCACTCCAGCCTGGGCGACAGAGTGAGACCCCGCCTCAAAAATAAATAAATAAATAAATAAATAAATAGACATTTGATCACCTGTAAAATATTCCAAGGCAAAAATTTTGCGAGGAGAATTGAGATGACAAAAATCTCTCCACTGTAATCCTCAAAGACACAACTTTTGAAATTTAGAAAAAGTGTGTTACTAACAGCGAGAATTCATGACACGCCCTAAAAAATATATGGGGATAAAAAATGGGAGCCTCTGATTTAGTCTTGCGGTTGCACCACACCAAGCCGGACAAGAAACAAACACTTCTCCATCTTCAGTGAGACAGGAAGCTGGTATGAAAGACGCCGTTTTAGTATGGCTAAAAAGACACGGCAATGCCAGCCAAGTAAAATACTTAGCGGAACTCGGGTGTGGACAGGAGAATGTAGGCTTGCACACGGGAGGTGGTGGAGTGAGCCTTCCACCTTGGGGAGCAGAGCCACGTTCCCGGGTTACTGAGCTGAGCTGGGCGGTTACTCAGCCTACAAACACAGGTTTCCCAGCACTTGAACTTGAGACTCCTGAAACCGACAAGGTGGTTCAGAATTCCTTGGAGGAGCTGGGGAGATGGTATCATCTCTGTCACTTGTGGGACTAAAGACCATTTCATTTTGCCCAGCAATAGCCTAGAATCTGGCACCTGTAGGACTAAAGACCGGGAATAGCCTGGAAGAAGTGGGTGGGGAGCGCCAGGCAGGGCAGACCAGATCGCAAAGGAAAAAACCCTGGCGTGCAAGCACCGATAGGAGAGGAAATGTTTGCTCAGCTGTAAAGGAGGGAGAGAAAAGGGAGAAAGCACAGGCGGCGTGGCAGGTAAGTGTGATCACGCGTGAGACAGAACCACTGTGAAAAATTCTCCGATTCTCCCACGGCAAAAGCCTCAGCCAAGCCAACGGCAGATAAAGGAATCCGAGGCTGATCGCCAACGACCGGAGGTTAAAGACACAGGAAGAGTTCAGAAGTTCAGGAAAATAAAAGCAGATTACCATTCAAGGGTTCTGTGAAGCAGAGAAAAGGTGAAATGACAGGAGGACCTGAGAGTGGCCGGGGTGGGGGCGGGGAGGAAAGCGATCATTCCAGGTAAATTCCACCCGGAGGTGCGGCTGGAGAGGCAGGGAGCCAAGGCGCGCAGGTAGCGGGGTGCGCCCTCTTCACTCGGAGCACCCTGTCGAGCAGAGCAGCTCTAAGCAAGGCCAGGCTGGAGGGAAAAGTGCAGGACTGTGCTTCTGGGCGGCCTTCATTTTTATACCATGGGGAAAAAAAATGCCCAGCTGATTTTAATTTTCTTCTTCTTCTTCCTTCTTTTTTTTTTTTTTTTTTTTTTTTGTTTTTTGAGACGGGGTCTCTGTCTCCCAGGCTGGAGTGCAATGGCGCGATCTCGGCTCACTGCAACCTCCGCCTCCCGGGTTCAAGCGATTCTCCTGCCTCAGCCTCCCGAGTAGCTGGGATTACAGGCGCCCGCCACCACCCCCGGCTAATCTTTCATATTTTTAGTAGAGACGGGGTTTCACCAAGTTGGCCAGGCTGGTCTCAAACTCCTGAGCTCAGGCAATCCGCCCGCCTTGGCCTCCCAAAGTGCTGGGATTACAGGCGTGCGCCACCGCGCCCAGCGGAGTATGGTAGACATTTGCGTTTGTTAGCTCAGTAGCCTCAGAAACCCTGAGAGGTAGAGCTCAACACAGAAGCAGCTCAGAGCAGCTCGCAGCCTTTCCAAGTCTGGTGGCTGGGGGAAGACCCAGCTGGGATTCGGCTGACTTCTGAGCCTTTTACCTCTTTACGGCTCTGACACCCTAGAGCACCAACACAGCTGCCTCTGAGTGTATTTTGAGACATTATATTTGTAAACTGCATGTAACTTTCTGAATGAAGTTTTAGAAGCAGATGGCACACCCTCACCAGCTCATTTCTTGCCAGTATTCTCAATTGTCGGCACCAGAGAGTCAGTCAGATACTGCTTTGGAGACAGAAAATATTGCCGGGCAAGGTAAAATCTTTAGCCTTTGACTCTTCAGTAAACACAAACTAATGAGAAACCTAGGTCTTATTTTGCCAATAAGCAGAGACTGGAACACTCAATAATAGTGAGAGAAAGAACAGATCATGCAAATGAGGAGAACTGATGATGTTGCCAAGTGAAGCTAGGTGAAGAGGATTAACAGAAGCGATTCTTCCTCTTCCTGTCTCTCTCTTTTTTCGTGAACTATATGAGGATGCCAGGAGGGTTAAGACAAAGACCATGCTTTTTTTTTTTTTTTTTTTTTAGACAGAGTTTCACTCTTGTTCCAAGGCTGGAGTGCAATGGCGCGAGCTCGGCTCACTGCAACCTCCACCTCCCAGGTTCAAGCGATTCTCCTGTCTCAGCCTCCTGAGTAGCTGGGATCACAGGCATGTGCCACCACGCCCGGCTAATTGTTTTGTATTTTTAGTAGAGACGAGGTTTCTCTATGTTGGTCAGGCTGGTCTCAAACTCCTGACCTCGTGATCTGCCTGCCACAGCTTCCCAAAGTGCTGGGATTACAGGAGTGAGCCACGGTGTCTGGCCAAATTTTCTTTTAAGTAGCTTAAAGTCACAGGGGAAAACAAAACTATTCACATAGACTTTTTCTTTGTTTGAATTGGCAAATGCCACCAAGAGTCCAGAAGCTACAAGGAAGCGGTGACAATGGTAGCCTGTGTGGCTACCCTTTGTACCTTTTGAATTCTCTACAAAGTTTTTAAATTTGTTTAAAAAAGAGAATTCATGTTCCAGACTTAAGGTTGCTTTAAGGAACAGACAGGGAAGGACATAAACACATCATCCTTCTGTTGATCCAGACTGGAGATGCTTTGAAATGGACAACGTCTAAAAGAGGGAGCTATGCTTTCCAAGCTTGGGTCCAAAGATGGAGGCTGTGCTGCTGAAGCTGTAAAGAGAGAGGGACAGGAAGTGAATGGATTTGTTACAATCCTGTTTTTTTCTTTTCTTTTCTTTTCTTTCTTTTTCTTGAGACAGGGTCTCTCTCTGTCACCCAGGCTGGAGTGCAGTGGCACCATCATGACTCACTGCAACCTTGACCTCCCGGGCTCAAGTATTCCCCCCACCTCAGTCTCCCAAGTAGCTGGGACTACAGGCGCATGCCACTGTGCCCCGCTAATTTTTACATTTTTTGTAGACACGGGGTTCTCACCATGTTGCCCAGGCTGGTTTCAAACTCCTGAACTCAAGCGATCCTTCTACCTTGGCTGGACAAGTCATGCCTGTAATCCCAGCACTTTGGGAGGTGGGATTTGCTTGGCCTAATCTTGGCAATTCTTAAAAGAAAATCTTTATAAACAGAAATTACAGGAGCGGTGGTTCACGCCTGTAGTCCCAGCACTTTGGGATGCTGAGACGGGTGGATCACCTGAGGTCAGGAGTTTGAGACCAGCCTGGCCAACATGGTGAAATCTTGTCTCTACTAAAAATACAAAGAATTAGCTGGGTGTGATGGCGGGCACCTGTAATCCCAGCTACTGTGGAGGCTGAGGCAGGAGAATCGCTTGAACTTGGGAGGTGGAGGTTGCAGTGAGCCGAGATCGCACCATTGCGCTCCACACTCCAGCCTGGGCAAAAAGGGTGAAACTTCGTCTAAAAAAAAAAAGATTTCTCTAAATTGTAACATCTTTATCAGTGGAATAGGGGCAGGAACCCACATGACAGGGCTGTTTGAAGGTTGAGATCATGTGGGTAAGGCTTCTTGGACAGCAGTGGGTGAAGCAGTAGCTTCCAGCATCATCCTAAAGCTGTCTCCGCAGGCAGGACGGCCAGGGTTCTGCCCATCTCACAGGTGGGCAGGATCTGCTGGTGCTCCCAGTGGTTCTGGAAAAG
This sequence comes from Homo sapiens, assembly GCF_000001405.40. NCBI lineage: Eukaryota > Metazoa > Chordata > Mammalia > Primates > Hominidae > Homo > Homo sapiens. Next base: position 13,386,392 of record NC_000010.11, read on the forward strand.
AGATGTGAAAAGTGCAGGCAACCCACCAATCAGTGAATAATTCCTGATTGCTTTCTGGCTGAGGTTATTGTTCTCTGCAGCCTTCTGTGGGAAATGAGTAGGATCTAAGTAATGGGAATTGGGGAACCTAAAACCGAAGTAAGTGATGGTCAGTAGAATCAGGACAGTTGGACAGCAAAGGGAGGAAAAAGGGAAGATCTTTGAGAGAAAAGCAGACAAGTTAAAGGGCATGATAGAGGTGCTTACGGATTCAGGGAGGGGAGAGGAAAAGGAAATTTATATGTCCAAGACAGAGAGTAAAAGTACATTCTAGGACTAGGTGGGGAATGACAAAAGCAGAAGAAATACAAAACTATCAAATGCCTGTGATAGTGTTTAGAAGCAATCAGAACAAGATCTGTGTGAATAAGAGGTCAGAAATGAGAAAATTGGGCCGGGCGCGGTGACTCACGCCTGTAATCCCAGCACTTTGGGAGGCTGAGGTGGGCGGATCATTTGAGGTCAGGAGTTTCAGACCAGCTGGCCAATATGGCAAAACCCTATTTTCACCAAAAATACAAAAATTAGCCAGGCATGGTGTTGGTGTGCCTGTAATCCCAGCTACTTGGGAGGCTGAGAGGGGAGAATCGCTTGAAAGCAGGAGGTGGAGGTTGCCGTGAGCCGAGATCACGCCATTGCACTCCAGCCTGGGCAACAGAGCAGGACTCCATCTCAAAAAAAAAAAAAAAAAAAAGAAAATCATATGAGCATATTTTTTAAAATGCATACAATAATATAAATACAAAAAATACTTGTAAGACATTTAGGGAGAATCAAGGCACCGTCTTGGTCAGGAATCCATAAGTGCTCCCTTTGTCCTGGTATTCAAGGCCTTCCATGATTTTGACCCAAATGCACCTAACCAGTCTCGGCCCTCACTACAATAAATAAAGTCATTTAGTAAAGCTTTCTTTGCCAGGCGTGGTGGCTCACACCTGTAATCCCAGCACTTTGGGAGGTTGAGGCAGGAGGATCATTGGAGGCCAGGAGTTAGAGACCAGCCTGGGCATCATAGTGAGACCCTGTCTCTACAAAAAAAAAAAAAAAAAAAAGTTAAAAATCAGCTGGGTGCTGTGGCGCACACCTGTAGTCCAAGCTACTCAGGAGGCTGAGACAGGAGGACTGCTTGAGCCTAGGAATTTGAGGTTATAGTGAGTTATGATTATACCACTGCACTCCAACGTGGGTGACAGAGCAAGACCCTGCCTTTAAAAAACAAAGCAAAATAAAACAAAAACCTTTCTTGACCACCTGTCTTGGGCTAGGAACTAAAAGAATGAAGCCTTGACTCTGCTCTTTTTACCTAATGGGAATGCCCTCTACTCCAGGTAGACCATCTCTCTTCAGAAAGCCAAGTTTCTTTCCCTGACACCGTTGCTCATACCCGTAAGAGCTGAAAAAATAACTCTCAGGGATGCACCTGGGATAAAGGCATTTCAGAAATTGCTTCCCCAGCAAAGGACCTGACGTTAATCCTGTTGCCTTAGATTGTTTCCTGAGCTTCCCTTGCCCTGTCTACGTCCCACTTTCCCTCTCTGGCCCTTCAACGAATTCATTCAGCAGCGGCCCCCTCAAGGAGCTTGCAACCTAGAAGTGATAAAACAAGTACTAATAAGTGACTCTGATAGTGACCAGCATGTGGCAAAAGTGCTATTGCAGGAAGGGAGATGGTGGAAGAGGAGGGAAAGAATGCACTAGAATGACTATGGAGGAGGCACCGTTGGAGATGGAAGGGCATGAGTAGGACTATAGAGATTGGATGGTTGATTGAGTTGATTGAGAGCTGGTTGAGTGAGTATCTTGCATGGCTGCATTTGGTATGTTTGATGGGGGTAGTGGTGGTCGTGGTGTTTAAAATGATGGTAGTAGTATTTTGGTGATGAATCTGGAGAGCTTGATTTGAGCAATGCTGTGAAGAGCTTCTGTTGGCAGGCTGGGGAATTTGTACTTAATATAGTAGCCATTAGGGATTCATCAAACGTCTTTGAGAAGAAGAGTGACACAGAACCATGTAATCTTAGAGCTCAAAGGGGACTTAAAGGCCTCTAATTCCACCAAAAGTTTGACATCTCTGTCTACCAAGTGTGGGCCGGGAAACTAGTTTCTCACTGTCATGAGGGTTAAATGAGAGGGCACTTGTAAAGCGCTCAGCCCATGGTTTGACACCTAATAAAGCTCAAATAATGTAGTAAAGCTCAATTAATGTTGACTGACACTGTCATCATCATCATCACCATCATCATCACCATCATCACCATCATCATCATCAGCTTGGTTATTATTTAGGAAGGTGTTCCTTAAGCCTTATTCCTCAGTTGTCCTACAAGTATTTGAAGACAACTGTCCATTTCTGTGTGAGCTTTTTCCTCTTTAAATATTCCTGGCTTCTTCCAGCACTCCTTACACATGGGTGTCACATTCCCTTACCTTTCTGACTCTGTCTAGCCCTTGTAAAATGTGGTACACAAAATCCAGTAGTCTGTCTGATCATAGCTGACCACAGCAGTTTCTTCCTTTCTTTCATTCTAGAGATGATGCCTGAATTGAAAAAAAAAAAAAGCCAAAAAGTTTTTGGCAGCCTCATCACATTGAATCTTGGAATATAATGCTGATTTAAACTCCCAAGACATTCCCACATACACTAGTGCTAAGCTGCAACCTTTCCACTCTCTCCTTGTACGTGGTCCCAGCACAGAGCTTCAGATTGCTTTATGATGATTAAATCTCCTCTTTTTGTCAGGAAAAGGCCTTGAAATGGGCAGAAAGATTACTGAGTTTCCTTTCAGTGGATGGCTGGGTATTATCTAGCAGAGGCTTCAGGGTTGTCTGATTTCACAGGGGTCTGTGTCTTTCATCGTTTTTGACTGAACTATTTTGTAACTGTAAATTATAGAAAACACAAGGTTATGGAAATGATTCTTGTCCATAGAGATACAAACGAGTTTTGTCTGGTAGAAATGCAATTGATTTCTACCCCATAAAGAGGCTGTCAGTCTTGCACCTCTTAGTAAATTTATTTCAGCACTCCTGATTGCTTGTAGATATGTCTGTTCTTTGGATTCTCTTTCAGCCAGTTGTAATATTTTGCTGTCTGCATCATCAATTAATGAGTTAAGTTAATTTAAAAATCTTGGACACATGTTCATTATATATATATATATATACACGCGTATATTTATGCATATATATTCATTATATATTATATATGCATATATATGCACATATATACACGCATATATTCATTATATATGCATATATATGTGTGTATGTGTATGTGTGTGTGTGTGTGTGTGTGTGTGTGTGTGTGTAGTTTTTGAGACAGAGTCTCCCTCTGTTGCCCAGGCTGGAGTGCAGTAGCACAATCTTGGCTCACTGCTACCTCCACCTCCTGGGCTCAAGCGATTCCCATGTCACAGCTTCCTGAGTAGCTGGGACTACAGGCGTGTGCTACCATGCCCTGCTAATTTTTGTATTTTTAGTAGAAATGGGGTTTCACCATGTTGGCCAGCTGGTCCTGAACTCCTGGCTTCAAGTTATCCATCTGCTTCAGTCTCTCAAAGTGCTGGGATTACAGGAGCGAGCCGCCACACCTGGCTTATTTTATATTTGTATAAGAACCACGATTTTTTACTTCTACACATTTATAACAGTGCAGATACAGCATATTGCTTTCTGATTTTCCTATTCCATGACAAATTGGAGAGTTCTGCACAGGGCAGAAATGAAGACTGACCAAGCCATGGAGACCTCATTTTAGATTAGTTATGAGACTCTCAACCTGTATGTCTTGGTAAAGTTGTTCAACCAGATATTAATTCACTTAACGAAATCTATCTCCTTTTACTTACAAACAGGCTGTTTATAAGTCCATTTGTTCATAAGTTCCAAGTGATTAAGAGGGGGTTAAAGTTGAAACTTGCAATCCCCAGATACATTTCTGTCAATGATGACTGTAGGTCAGACTTCTATAACTTTAAAATCAGGCATATATTTCTCCTTTTTGCTCATTTATATTCTAATGGACACCCTCTGCCAAGATAGACCAGTCTATTATTGAAAATCCGGACCGATCTTCTTGTATAGTATCAAGGAGAAATGTGTGAACCCAGAAAGTGTCACCCTTCAAGACAGATTGTGAGTGGGTAACTGGATCTAAGTCCTGATGGAGCTGAGAGCCATTTGCCAACTGGAGGTTACACTTGTACCCTAAACAAGCTGAAGAGTAGTTAAACTTTGGAGCTTTCATAGCCGTCTGGCCCTGTCGATGCCAGCAGAATCAACTGCTGCTGGAAGGTCCCATTCTGCCATCTGGACCTGATCCATGAACTCGGATCTGTGGTCAGTTTTAACATCAACCAATCAGGATTGAGCGAGCTTACATGTCTCATTTGCATAGCAGACTGGAGGGGGATCCCGGGCTGGAACTTTCCCCAGCAAGACAGTCCCCTCTTGGTTCTAGTGGAGTGCACTTTTGTTTCGTACAGAAGGCGTCCTCTCCCCAGTTTGAAAACTGCTTGCTGGAATAATGTCTCTTTTTCTTTCTTTTTTTTTTAGAGACAGGATCTCTCTCTGTCGCCCAGGCTGGAGTGCAGTGGCACAATCCTAGCTCTCTGCTGCCTTCTACTCCTGGGCTCAAGGGATCCTCCCACCTCAGCCTCCTGAGGAGCTATAGGCACATAACACCACACTTGCCTAATTTTTGTATTTCAATTTTTTGTAGAGGTGGGGTCTGATATGGTTTGGTCTGTGTCCCCACCGAAATTTCATCTCGAACTGTAATTCCCACATGTCGAAGGAGGCACTGGGTAGGGGGTGATTGGATCACGGGGGCGGACTTCCCCCTTGCTGTTCTCGTGACAGTAAGTGAGTTCTCATGAGATCTGGTTGTTTAAAAGCGTGGCACTTCCCCCTTCGCTGGCTCCTGCTTTGCCATGTTAAGACGTGCTTGCTTCCCTTTCGCCTTCTGCTGTAATTGTAAGTTTCCTGACGCCTCCCGGTCATGCTTCCTGTTAAACTGTGGAACTGTAAGCCAATTAAAACTCTTTCCTTTATAAGTTATCCAGTCTCAGGTAGTTTTTTTTTTTTTTTTTTTTTTTTTTTTTTTGAGGCAGAGTCTCGCTCTCTCCCCTAGGCTGGAGTGCAGTGGCGTGATCTTGGCTCACTGCAAGCTCCACCTCCCGGGTTCACACCATTCTCCTGCCTCAGCCTCCCGAGTAGCTGGATACAGGCGTCCACCACCACGCCCGGCTAATTTTTTATATTTTTAGTAGAGACGGGGTTTCACTGTATTAGCCAGGGTGGTCTCGATCTCCTGACTTCGTGTTCCACCCGCCTCGGCCTCCCAAAGTGCTGGGATTACAGGCTTGAGCCACTGCGCCCGGTCAGTCTCACGTAGTTCCTTAAAGTAACGTGAGAACGGACTAATACAAAGTCCCACTATGTTTCCCCGGCTGGTCTCAAGCTCCTGGGCTCAGGTGATGCAGGTGATCCTCCGGTTTTGGCCTCCCGAAGTGCTGGGATTACAGGCATGAGTAACCATGCTTGTCACTCCTATGGGTCTTAGGGGTGAGAGATGAACAGATCAGTTTGGGGCTTTTTTGTCATGTATACGAACCCGAAGTCCGATCTATAAAAGCCACTTTAGGGAGTGTCAAGAAAACAGGAGTGAGCGTGTAAATAGAAGCCAATGCATAAGGTTTATGTTTGGGTCTGACTCGGAAGGAAAAACAATACACCTATGAAGATGAAAAAGGCCGTGTCTCTGAAAACCTTTGAGCTCTTCAGAGAAGTGCATCACATATGCAAGCTCTTCTATGACCCTCCTTACCTTTCATCCCCTATTGGCAGTTGTATGACCTTTCTTTTCCCAGCACCTGTCACAGCACCCTGTAATGATTGGAACTCATGGTTGTGCTTTGAGTGGGAAGGTGGGCAGAGGGTGAGGACATCCTGTGTAGGAACAGAGGACCAAATGTTGGGTTAGCATGGCAGGGGTGGCTGACAGATTATTCTCTGACTGGCAAAGTCAAAGAACCTGAAAAGACAGATGTTTTCCTGTATTCCAAAAGGCTTTCAAACAAATGTGTGAATATTTGACATAGTAACTTCACTTGTAGAAACCCGATTAGCCTAAAGAAATAGCCAGCAAGGCTGGGCGTGGTGGCCACATTTGTAATCCCCGCACTTTGGGAGGCTGAGGTGGGTGGATCGCTTGAGCCCACAGTTTGAGATCGCCTGGGCAACATGGTGAAACCCTGTGTCTACAGAGAATACAAAAATTAGCTGGGCGTGGTGATGCGTGCCTGGAGTCCCAGCTACTCAGGAGGCTGAGGTGGGAAGATCAATTGAGCCTGGGAAGTTGAGGCTGCAGTGAGCCTTGATAATGCCACTGTACTCCAGCCTGGTTGACAGAACAAGACCTTGTCTCAAAAAAAGAGAAATAACCAGAAAGGATATATGACAATAACGTCTGTCAGCATTATTTGTAAATGTTAACCCAATGTCCAGCAATTGGACAATGGTTAGGTAAATAAGATGAAACACCACGCAATATTATCATGCAGACATTCGACATGTAAGTGAATCATGGTTCATGTTGTTGGGAAATGAGCATGAGAGAAAAAAGCAAGATTCTGATTTCAGTATAAAGAAGGTTGTCAACAAAGTAAAATACCGATGGACAGAAAAGAAATCAAGGGAATACCCCAGATATTCTCATTTGTTATTTCTTGGTGAAATTATCAATGATGAAATTATCAGTGATGTTATTTCAACAAAGATCACACAAGCTGGATTCTTGTGCTGGTTATGTTATGTTGGCTACAGATGATAGTAACGCTTTGGGTTGTTTTTTGATCTTTACCTTCCTTTGGGGATAGACTATGCGACTGAAGTTTTAAAAAATTGGGGAGACGGGAGGGGCACGGTGCTCACACCTGTAATCCCAGCATTTTGGGAGCTGAGGCGGGCGGTTCATGAGGTCAGGAATTTGAGACCAGCCTGGCCAACATGGTGAAACCCCATCTCTACTAAAGATACAAAAAATTAGCTGGGCATGGTGGTACACGCCTGTAATCCCAGCTACTTGGGAGGCTGAGGCAGGAGAATCGCTTGAACCTGGGAGGCGGAGGTTGCAGTGAGCCGGGATCTCACCATTGCACTTAACCTGGGCGACAAGGCGAGACTCCATCTCAAAAACAAAACAAAACAAAAAACACTGGGGAGAAAAACCATAGCTAACAAGTGCTGAGATTTAAACTACCATAGATGTTGTTTTTGAAATGTTTTTGAAAGCAGTTGAGAGCAGAAATGAAGATGACGGAACAATGCAGTTTCTTTGCCTCCCTTGGTATCTATTTTCCAATAAGTTAAACAAATCGTTTTGACTGGAATTATGCTAGTGCTTTATTGGGTGGGGCCTCCTTAGTTATTTATATGCTGTTACAGGACGAACTATGTCTCTTTCAAAATTCGTATGTTGAAGCCTTAACCCTCAATATCTCAGAATGTAACACATTTGGAGATAAGGTCTTTAAACTGGTGATTAAGTTAAAATAAGCCCCTTCCCTTTTCCTTAGCAAACTAATGCAGGAACAGAAAATCAAATAGCCCATGTTCTCACTTATAAGTGGGAGCCAAATGATGAGAACACATGGACACAGAGGGGAACAACACATACTGGGGCCCACTTGAGGTTAGAGGGTGGAGGAGGGAGAGGAGCAGAAAAGATAACTATTGGGTACTAGGCTTAGTACCTAGGTGACAAAGTGATCTGTAAAACCAAGCCCTATGACATGAGTTTACCTATATAGCAAACCTGCACATGTACACTTGAACCCAAAATAAAAGTTTAAAACAACAACAACAAAAATGAGGCCCTTAGGGTGGGCCCTAACCAAAATGCCTGGTGTCCTTATACAAAGAGGCAATTAGAACACAGGCACACCCAGAGGAAAGGCCATGTAAGGACCCTGTGTGTTTCTGAGCTGCAGGTCTGGAGTAGCCACGACTTGGCATTGCTTTTGTCTGAGACGTTTAATTGATAACACAACAGAGCAGCCCCAAATAGCATAGCAAGCTTCTCCCTCGGCTGCCAAGGAGCTGCACATCTCATTCCTGGGTCCACCTGCCTTGGAACTGGGGCTCTGGCCTCTTGGCTGAGAGGGTCTGAGTCGGGGCTGAATTCTTCTGAAGGCAAAGGAGGGACAGGTGCTGTGGGCCCCTCTGGCCTCACACACACAACAGGAAGCATCCGATGGGTACTTCGAGGGGGTCATCCCTGGCCATAGAGCAATTTTGCAGAGATTATAAAATGGTCTAACTGTCCTTCCCACTCGAACTCCTCATCCCTTCTGCAGCCCCAGGCCCTGTGCAGGGAGATGCTGTCTGAATGTGGTAAGAGGCGTTGTAAATTCAGTCTTTCATTTAAATTCTCATAAAACATTCTTCCTTTTTCTTTTTTTTGAGACAGGGTTTCTCCCTGTCACCCAGGCTGGAGTGCAGTGGCACGATCTCAGCTCACTGCAACCTCTATCTGCTGAGTTCAAGTGATTCTCCTGCCTCAGCATCCCAAGTAGCTGGGATTACAGGCACGCACCACCACTCCTGACTAATTTTTATATGTTTGATAGAGACAGAGTTTCAACATGTTGGCCAGGCTAGTCTCAAACTCTTGACCTCAAGTGATCAAGTGCCTTGGCCTCCCAAAGTGCTGGGATTACAGGCGTGAGCCATCGTGGCTGGTCCGTTTTCGTTTTTTTTTTTTTTTTTTTTTTTTCTTGAGACAGGGTCTCACTCTGTCCAGGCTGGAAGGCAGTGATGCTGTTATAGCTCACTGTTGCCCCAAGCAATCCTCCTGCCTCAGCTTCCCAAGTAGCAGGGACTATAGGTGTGCACCACCACCATGCCTGGCTAATTATTATTTTTTTGAGACAATGTCTTGTTATGTTGCCCAGGCTGGTCTTGAACTCCTGGTCTCAAGTGGTCCTTCTGCCTTGGCCTCCCAAAGTGCTGGGATTACAGCGTGAGCCACCACACCCTGCCTAAAAATTTACTTTTTGATGTAAAACATAAATTCTTGTAGTAGTGAGATAATCTCTCATAGCTCATACAGTTTGTTAAATAAAAAGCTTGGGCACTGGAACCCAACTGTCTAAATCCAATTCCTAGCCTGGCTAGTTAGAAGCCGTGTGAGCTTAGGCCCTTTACTTAACTTCTCTGATCACTGCTTTCCTTGCCTATATAATGGGGGTGATACTGTACCTACCTTGGAAATAGGAGGATTCAATGAGTTTGAAACACAGGCAGCACTTAAAACATGCTGGGCATACAGGAAGCATTCAGTACATAATAATGAGTTCTTTTATTGTGGTAAAATATGCATAACAAGGCCATTGCGGTTGCTCATGACTGTAATCTTAGCACTTCGGGAGGCCAAGGTAGGCAGATCACCTGAGGTTGGGAGTTCAAGACTAGCCTGACCAACATGGAGATACTTCATCTCTACTTAAAATACAAAATTAGCCGGGTGTGGTGGTGCATGCCTGTAATCCCAGCTACTCGGGAGGCTGAGGCAGGAGAATCGCTTGAACCCAGGAGGCGGCGGTTGCAGTGAGCCGAGATTGTGCCATTGCACTCCAGCCTGGGCAACAAGAGCAAAACTCCGTCTCAGAAAAAAAAAAACCATATATACATAACATTTACCATTTTAACCATTTTTATTTTTATATTCATTAATTATTATTATTATTAATTTTTTTTGGAGACAGAGTCTAAAGCTGTTGCCCAGGCTGGAGTTTAGTGACGCAACCTCGACTCACTACAACTTCTGCCTCCTGGGTTCAATCACAATTCTCCTACCTCAGCCTCCCAAGTAGCTGGGACTACAGGTGCCCGCCACCACGCCTGGCTAATTTTTTTTGTATTTTAGTAGAGATGGGGTTTCACCATGTTGCCCAGGCTGGTCTTGAACTCCTGAGCTCAGGCAATCCACTGCCTCAGCCTCCCAAAGTGTTAGGATTACAGGCATGAGCCACTGTGCTTGGCCATTTTAACTGTTTTTAATAGTACAGTCTGTGGCATTAAGTATGTTTACATTGTTGTGCAACCATCATGACCATCTATCTCCAGAGCCTTTTCATCTTCCCAAACAGAAACTCTGTCTCTGTGAAACAACAACTCCCCATTTCCTCCTCCATTAGCCTCTGGCAACCATCATTCTACTTTCTGTTTCTGTGAATTTGACTACTGTAGGGATCTCATATAAATGGGATCATACAGTATTTGTTCTTCTGTGATTGGCTTACTTCCTTTAGCATAATGTCCTCAAGGTCCATCCATGTAGCATGGGTTAGAATGTCCTTCCTTTTTAAGGGCGAATAATATTCCATTGTATGGATAGACCACATTTTAAAAATCCATTGATAAACACTTTCGTTGCTTCTACCTTTTGGTATTATGAATAATGCTGCTATAAACATTTGTACATAAATGTCTCTTTGAGACCCTGTTTTCAATTCTTTTGGGTATATACCTAGAAGCGGAATTGCTGGATCCTATGGTCATTCCACGTTTAATCTTTTGAGGAACCGCCATGATGTTTCCCGCAGCGGCTGCACTATCATTCTCATGGTTTCAGACACCATCTATAAGGCTGATGAATTCCAGCTTTATAGCTACAGCTTTACGCTGCCCCTGAGTTGTATGCAATTTCCTACTTGATCTTGTCAGTTAGATGTCTCACGGATCTTCTTCGAACTGCTCCTCCTCCTTGCCCCTCTCTCACTTTCCCTCATTTTGGTAAATGGCACTAACTGAGCAGAGTTGCCCCAGCTGAAAACCTTCTGCAGAGCCCAGTGCAGAAGGAAGATGTGGAGCCTCAGCCAGGACCAGGGAAGTCAATCCCCCCTTCCCACAAGCCTGTGGCCCCAACCTACAGTGGACAGGCCACCCCAAAGGGATCCAGGGTGGTCAAGAGCCCTGGATCACCAGGGAAAAGATTTCTTGACTCCACTTGGGGAGGAATTTATCTTGATTGAATGTGTACCGTGTGCCAGACATCATCTAGGTGATGGGGATACAACAGAGAACAGAACAGATGAAATCCTGTTGTCATGGAACTTTTATTCTGTGAGGCTGCACTTACTCTATGTCTATTACTAAGCACTTGTCAAGAGCCAGGCCCTGACCTTGCACTAAGATACAGCAGTGAGCAAAATGCACAAACATATAATTACATATGGTGATAAATTAATTCATTCAGCCAGTAGTCCAGATTGCTATATGAACACATAGCAGGTGATTAGATCTGGCTTGGGAACTGGGGAATTCCTAAAAAATGTAAATTAAAATAAAATTTATTTATTTATTTTCTGAGCCAGAGTCTCTGTTGCCCAGGCTGGAGTGCAGTAGTGCAATCTCAGCTCACTGCAACCTCCACTTCCCAGGTTCAATCGATTCTCGTGCCTCAGCCTCCCGAGTAGCTGGGACTACAAGTGTGTACCATCATGCCTGGGTAATTTTTTGTATTTTTAGTAGAGATGGGGTTTCACCATGTTAGCCAGGCCAGTCTTGAACTTCTGGACTCAACTGATCCACCTGCCTCAGTCTCCTAAAGTGCTAGAACTGCAGGCATAAGCCACCGCGCCCGGCCAAATGAACTTTATTTATTTATTTTATTTATTTATTTTTTTGAGACAGAGTCTCGCTCTGTAGCCCAGGCTGGAGTGCAGTGGCGCGATCTCGGCTTACTGCAAGCTCCTTCTCCTGGGTTCACGCCATTCTCCTGCCTCAGCCTCCAGAGTAGCTGGGACTACAGGCGCCCGCCACCACGCTCGGCTAAGTTTCGGCTAAGTTTTTTGTATTTTTGGTACAGACGGAGTTTCACCGTGTTAGCCAGGATGGTCTTGATCTCCTGACCTTGTGATCCGCCCGTCTTGGCCTCCCAAAGTGCTGGGATTACAGGCGTGAGCCACCGCGCCCAGCCCATGAACTTTAGTTTTAGGAATCATTATAGATTTGATTTACAGAGAAATCATGAAGTTTATATAAAGAATAGTTCCCATATATCTTGCACTGTTTCCTCTGTTTCTAACATCTTACATCAGTATGGTACATTTGTTACAATATTGAACCAGTGTTGATACCTTATTATTAACTAAAGTCCACAAGATACTCAGATTTTTCTTTTGCTTTTTTTTTTTTCTGGAGATGAAGAATCTCCCTGTCACCCAGGCTGGAGTGCAGTGGCATGATCTTGGCTCACTGCAAACTCCACCTTCTGGGTTCAAGTGATTTTTCTGCCTCAGTCTCCTGAGTAGCTGGGATTACAGGCACCTGCCACCACGCCTGGATAATTTTTGTCTTTTTAGTGGCAACAGGGTTTCACCATGTTGTCCAGTCTGGTCTTGAACTCCTGGCCTCAAGTGATCCACCTGCCTCAGCCTTCCAAAGTGCTGGGATTGTAGGCATGAGCCATCATGCCCAGCCAGGTATTAGATTTCTGTAGTTTCTATCTGATGTCATTTTTCTGTCTTAGGATCCCATCCGTGTAACCATATTACATTTAGTCATCACGTCTCTTTACGCTACCCTTAGCTGTGACAATTTCTCAGCCTTTCCTTGCTTTTGATGACCTTGACAGTTTTGAAGAGTATTCATGCAGTAGATTTTGTAGGATGCCGTCTATTAGAATTTGTCTAATGTTCTTCTCATGGTTAAATTGGGGTTATGGGTTTTGGGAGGAAGCTTACAGAGGTAATGTCCATAGTGGTGGCTCAAGCCTGTAATCCTTGCCCTTTGGAAGGCCGAGGTAGCAGGACTGCTTGAGGCCAGGAGTTCAAGACCAGCCTGGGTAATATAGCGAGACCCCATCTCTAAAAAAAAAAAAAAAAATTACCTCAGCATGTTGACACATGCCTGTGGTCCCATCTACTTGGGAGGCGGAGGCAGGAGGATCGTTTGAGCCCTGAATGTTGAGGCTGCGGTGAGCAGAGATTGCGCCACTGCGCCCTCTAGCCTGGATGACAGAGGGAGACCCTGTCTCAAAAAAAATTTTTTTTTTTTTTTTTAAAGAAGAACGAGGGTTATGTTCATGCACCACCTCCTGGACAGTGTGTTTTGTTTTTAACAGTGTTATTGAGGTATAATTTACATGCCACAAAATTCACCTGTTTTAGGTGAACAGTTAGATGAGTTTTCGTAAATGTATACAGTTGTGCCTGAGGGAACTGCTCTGTGAGCTGACAACCAAAGGATAGGAGTAATTTAATGAGACAAAGGAAGTAAAAAACTGCTCCAGGCAGAGATGATGGCGTGAGCCTCTGCAGGGAGCATAGCACATTTAAGGAACTCAGGTGAATCCTGAATTGCCATGAAAGGGCAAAATATGTCACCCCAGTTCATTCACTGTGCTTCCTATTTCATATTTAATATTTCTTTCCAAACATGTGAGAGTCAACAGCATATTAATGCCTAAATGCATAAACTCTAGTTATGCAAAACACTTGTCTAGAACAACTCAGTCCCTGATGGTTTACTCAAGGTTTTACCATAACAAGAAGTAAATATTAGGATTGTAAAATTCAGAATGGTCCCTGAGGGGGAATAAAATTGTAATAAAAAAATTTCCTCCTTTTTCAGGTCTTGTTTCAGTGAGAATGTAAAGTACGTGAGCTATGTGCTTTGTGATGAAGTCGTTGATTTATTTCACTTTGGAACAAGCACACCACAACAAAGTGAGAATGAGAAGGTAATTCAGAGGGAGAAGAAGGAAACGGAACTGTACGTAGAAATATATCCTCATATGAACTTAGATTCTGAAATAAATCTAGGTTGTAAAAACACCAAAAGGCTGTTTCCATGAGTGAGTCAACCAAGAGGCCCTCTCAGGACTTCTGTGGGACGTTGGAATCCCCTGGCATATATGAAATCCAAATTAGTCAGGATAGGTAAGATTGTGCTGCGGTAACAAAGAAAACCTTTATTTTCAATGGCTTCATGCTGAAGCAGCCTCGCTGTCGGGGGTGAATACTGGAGGTTCGCCATCTCATGCTAGGGGATGAGGATGTGGGCACACAAGAAGTGAGTTTAAAAGTGGAGGCTTAATAGTGAGAGAGATTTAATAGAGAGAAAGAGAAAAGCTCTCTCTCCTGCAGAGAGAGAGGGGCTCCCGACTGGGTCTTCCGGTCCCATGGGGAAGCGCACAGGGTTTTATAGACTGGCTTGAAGAGGCGGTGTCTGATTTACATAGGGCCCAAAGATTGGTTGGACCAGGTGTGACATTTACATAGCACAGGAAGAAAGTGGCCACTCCACCCTAATCTTTTATTATGCAAATGGGTTTTCTCCCTGGCCGGCACCATGTTGTCTGCTCCTTACTGTACACATGGTTGATAAAGAAAAGGGAAAAGGGAGCCTCCATGTTGAACATTCCTGGCCCCAGGTAGCCTTTTCCTATTGGCACAGCTGCCGGAATTCACCCGTGCAAGCTTCCAGCTTGCTTATCTATGTCTGCAGCTCGAATTTACAGGCTGCTTTTTGTTAGAAAAGAAATGGTTTGGGGGCTGTTTTTCATTAAAAGGGAAACCTTACCAAGGACTTCCTTATCCTCACTATCTGCCTAAATAATTTCTTCTTAACTCTTATATCAATACAACAGGTTATTGTTTGATGTAGGTCAAGTGGCTTTCCTTGGTGGCTTTCCTCCAGTAATTGGTTCAGGAATCTAGGCTCCATCCATCTTGTGATGGTGTCATCTCCATCATGTGCCCTCAAGAATTTGCCACAGACCAAGTGTGGTGGCTCATGATGCTTGTACTCCCAGCACTTTGAGAAGCCAAAGTGGGAGGATTGCTTGAGTCCAGCAGTTTGAGACCAGCCTGGGCAACCTAGTGAGACCCCATCTCTACAAATAAAATTAGCCAGGCATGGTGGTGCACACTTGTGGTCCCAGCTACTTAGAAGTCTGACGTGGGAGGATCGCTGGAGCCCAGGAAATCAAGGCTACATTGAGCCGTGATCACAACACTGCACTCCAGCCTGGGTGACAGAATGAGACCCTCTCTCAAAAAACAATTTGCCACAGAACAGGAAGAGAGAGGGTGGATGATGACATGGGAGATTTTACGGGCAGGCTTGGAAGTGGCATACATCCCTTCTGCCCCTGTCCTTTAGTCAGAATCCAGTTATAGTGGCCCAATCTCAGGGCGAAAAAGGCTGGGAAGCCAGCTGGGCGTGGTGGCTCACGCATGTAATCCCAGCACTTTGGGAGGCTGAGGCGGGCGGATCATGAGGTCAGGGGATCGAGACCATCCTGGCTAACACGGTGAAACACCATCTCTACTAAAAATACAAAAAAAAAATTAGCCAGGCATGGTGGCGGATGCCTGTAGTCCCAGCTACTGAGGAGGCTGAAGCAGGAGAATGGCGTGAACCCAGGAGGCGGAGCTTGCAGTGAGCTGAGATTGTGCCACTGCACTCCTGCCTGGGTGACAGAGCAAGACTCTGTCTCAAAAAAAAAAAAAAAAACGAGAAAAAAAAAGGCTGGGAATTATAGTCCTGTGTACACAGGAAGAAAACAATAAAATGGGATTTGGTGAACGTACAATATTATCTTTGCCACAAGCTCCTAATTTTGTTATTAGATGCTTTCCAAGTTATAAAAGAATCCAGCTTGTTGTAGCAGATGTAACATAGGTGTATAAAGATGAAACTAATGACCTCCCTACTCTCCGTCTCCTGGCGTCTATGCCCTGTGTTGCCTGCCACACCACCCTCCTTGTTGGTGTAATTGTATTCCACATGCATGAATGGTTCAGGAGACATTAACTCTGGAAGGCCCTTCTGAACTGGAAGTTCTCCTGATAAACATTCTAGTTGCTGAAAAATGCCCAAATGAAATGTTTGTTCAAGAAGTCCGGCAGGTTGACAGGGGAGCGATAGCGTTTTGCTGGAATTTAAGATCCACTGCTTTCGTTTATGTTTTCCTCGGTTGACTGCAGTGCTTGGCAGGAGCTGTGGCAATGGAAAGACCTGGGTTCAGGACCTGGCTCTGCCTCCTACCCTCTTTGTGACTTTGGACAAGTAGTAAACTCTTCTGAAGTTTACTATTTACCTCAGCTTTGAAGCAGAGATCTGGTGTCTATCCCATGTGGTATTTGCAATGCTACAAGATAAAGTCTAGTTTTAAATCTGCCGGATTGTTGGGTACCTCTGACGTCTCAGCATCCACAACTAAAGACCAAGCCAGCTCTTATTTCAAATGTGTACAGTGGGTCGGGCGCAGTGGCTCACGCCTGTAATCCTAGCACTTTGAGAGGCCGAGGCGGGTGGATCACTTGAGTCCAAGAGTTTGAAACCAGCATGGGCAACGTGGTGAAACCCTGTCTCTACGAAAAATACAAAAATTAGCCATGTGTGGTGGTATACACCTGTAATCCCAGCTACTCAGGAGGCTGAGGCAGGAGAATCGCTTGAACCCGGGAGGCGGAGGTTGCAGTGAGCCGAGATCACGCCACTGCACTCCAGCCTGGGTGACAGAGTGAGACCCTATCTAAAAAAAAAAAAAAAAAATCAAGTGTGTCAGTGTGACCGAGAAGCTGGGTTAATCCTCAGCAGAGAGAAGTTCCATATGATGGGGAGGAAAGGAAGAGCAAATATACACTCAAAAATGTCTGGGTTTGACGGTTTAGAGTAATCATTTAGGAAGGAAAGAAGATATATAAGGAAATCTAGACTGGGGAATTTGGAAGTTATTCGAAGCATGTTGAGAAGGATCAGGCCATTTTGCTACTAACTTTCCTGTTCATTAGTTATGCATAGTTCCCTTCAACAGGGGCAGAGCCCCCCTGTGACAGATCTTGTTTTTTTTTTGTTTTTTTTTTTTTTTTAAATGAAGTCTCACTCTGTTGCCCAGGCTGGAGTGCAATGGCACGATCTTGGCTCACTGCAACCTCCGCCTCCTGGGTTCAAGTGATTTTCCTGTCTCAGCCTCCTGAGGAGCTGGGATTACAGGCGTGTGCCACCACGCTCGGCTAATTTTTTTGTATTTTTGTAGAGATGGGGTTTTGCCATGTTGGTCAGGCTGGTCTTGAACTCCTGACCTCAAGGGATATGCTGGCTTCAGCCTCCCAAAGTGCTGGGATTACAGGCATAAGCCACCGCACTTGGCCTGCAGATCCTGTTTCTAATGACTCAGTGGAAGAAAATGTTCAGTGATGCTCCCAGGTGGCAGTGTCCCAGAGAAGGGCTTGGGTTGTCCAGTGCTTTAGCTGCTTTGCAGTTTAATGTAACAGGGATCTAAGAGCAGAGGAGCGCAATGAAAGGCAAGCGTCGACTCTCACCTGTCAATGTTGAGTGGGTGGTGGGAAGAAATGATGATAACCAACAAATTAAAACCAGAAAGTGCCGGGTGCAGTGGCTCATGCCTGTAATGCCAGCACTTTGGGAGGCCAAGACAGGAGGATCACCTGAGGTCAGGAGTTTGAGACCAGCCTGGTCAACATGGCAAAACCCCGTCTCTACTAAAAATTCAAAAATATGGGTGGGCATGGTGGCTAGTGCATGTAGTCCCAGTTACTTGGGAGGCTGAGACACGAGAATCCCTTGAACCCGAGAGGCAGAGGTTGCAGTGAACCGACATCATGCCACTGCATGCCAGCCTAGGTGACAGAGTGAGATTCCGTCTCAAAAAAAAAAAAAAAAATTAGCAAGGTCACATTGAAGAACTCAGCAAAAAGGAGAAAGGACAGGCACCTGAATAATAAAACCCTGGGTATTTACACAAATCTACAAAGGAAAAGAAATGGAAAAAGGGTTTATCAGTAAGTGTTTGGTAGAAAAAAGCAGAAATCACCTTAGATATTTCAAACAGAGACAGCTTGAATGCAGGAAATTAAGTTATAAAGCTGGTGGAAGGACTGGGAGAGCAAAAATGGGAGACGTGTGTTACCCAGAGATTAGAAACTACAGGAAGCTGGGAACATACTCCATGTAGTTAAATTCTGGGCATTAAAACTGCTTATCATCTTAAGTTTTATGAACAGCTGTGAGTAGAGTGTGGTGACTCATGCCAATAATCCCCCAACTTTGGGAGGACTGCTTGAGGCCAGGAGGTCAAAGCTGCAGGAAGACCAGCCTGGGCAACATAGCTAGGCCCCATTTCTAAAGAAAAAAAAAAATTTAGCCGGGCATGGCGGTGCATGCCTGTAGTCCCAGCTACTTGGGAAGCTGAGTAGGTGGGTTGCTTGAGCACAGGAGCTCAAGGCTGCATTAAGCTATTGATATAGGAGTTAAAAAGAAATTATGTAGGTAGCTAGTGAGGGTAAGGAAATCCTTGGTAAGGTTTTAAAAGATTTCCTTTTACTGAAAAGCAGCCCCCAAATTATTTCTTTTCTAGCAAAGATCAGCCTGTAATATCGAGCTGCAGACATAGATAAGCAAGCTGGAAGCTTGCACGGGTGAATGCCAGCAGCTGTGCCAATAGGGAAAGGCTACCTGGGGCTAGGCATGTTCAACATGGAGGCTCCACCTTCCCTTTCCTTGCCAACCACGTGTACAGTAAGGAGCAGACAACATGGCACCGGCCAAGTAGAAAATCCATTTGCATATTAAAAAGATTAGGGTGGGGTAGCCAGCTTCTTTGTGCACTATGTAAACGCCACACCTGATCCAACCAATCTTTGGCCTTCACAGGAGAGAGAGCTATTATCCTCTCTCTTTCTTTTGCCTATTAAACCTCTGCTCCTAAACCCACTTCTTGTGTGTCCACGTTCTCAATTCCCTTAGTGTGAAACAACCAAACTTGGGTATTTACCCCAGACAACGACACCGCTTCACTACAATCACACCACTGCATTCCAGCCTGGGTGACAGAGTGAGATCCTGTCTCTAAAAAAAAAAGGAACAAGAACAGTTCTGTAGCTTTTCTGTTCTTTGTGTGGCAATAGTCACATCTGACAGCAGGATTGGCAAGAGGTTTTTTTTTTTTTGAGACAGAGTCTTACTTTTTGCCCAAGCCAGAGTGCAGTGGCATGATCTCGGCTCACTGCAAGCTCTGCCTCCCGGGTTCACGCCATTCTCCTGCCTCAGCCTCCCGAGTAGCTGGGATTAAAGGTGCCCGCCACCGCGCCTGGCTAATTTTTTGTATTTTTAGTAGAGACGGGGTTTCACCGTGTTAACCAGGATGGTCTCGATCTCCCGACCTCGTGATCCGCCCGCCTCGGCCTCCCAAAGTGCTGGGATTACAGGCGTGAGCCACCGCGCCTGGCTGGCAAGAGGTTTTATGGACTCTTTGGGTATGGTGAGTTTTTGAAAGGAGGCAATTAAATTTGGAAGGAGCATAATCGTGGCTTTGTGGAAGGCATGGTGAGGGGCACACTGTGGGTTCTCTCTCAGGGACAGCTTGTTCCTCAGGCTCCTCCATCTTCTTGCTGTCCTGGGCTGCCATTTCTCTCCGCCTGCTTAGCTCTGCCTTCTCATCACTGTCCGCCAAGCCTTTACTGGGTGAGGTGCCCTCACATACCCAATTATTTCTGTCCACATGTCCATTGTTACATACACACTTGGTGTTAACAGGGAGCCCAGATGTGTCGTCACTGATTTCACCATTGACAGTAACTCGGGCAGGGTCCATAGTTCTTGTGACAAGTCATCAAATGCCAAATTTTTCCATTCTTAAGTCCCTGATCAGTACTCTGGAGTAGGTGGATTGGGCATTTCCAGAGTGATGCATGACATTTATCTCTTTTTTGACATTTATCCTTCACCTAAGTTGGAAGATTCAGTGTCAAAAAAGAAATGCTTTCACTTAACCCTATCCCTAAGAGCTTTCCAATCTCCCTAGAGCAGGGTCAGTTTCCCCTTCCTGAGAAGCTTGTTCCAGACTTAGCAAGGCATCTCATGTATTCCCCAATCTACCCCCATGGGCACTGGGCTGTTCTAAACCAATTTCACTGGTAGGGTTCTTCCCTGCCCCACCCTCTCCATCCTCACCTAGGCCTCCTCCTTCACACTCTGTTACTGCTAAAAGTTCTTTCAGCAGAGAGGTGCTTACCACAGGAGTCTCCCTGACACTCTCCCATCCCCAGCCTGCCCCAAGGAAGGTGAAATCTAGGCAGCTTCTTACAGAATGTTCTCAGCAAGCCAACTGCAACTCAGAGTGATGGCTGGGAAAGCGAAGACGCAAGATTTCCTGCCAGGTGAATCAAAGGGACCTGATTTCTCCCAGGCACTGTAATTTACGGTTTACAAACCATCTTACATGTTAATTTTTTTTTTTTTTTTCCTGAGACAGAGTGAGACTCTGTCACCCAGGCTAGAGTGCAGTGATGCAATTAGCCCACTGCAGCCTGGAACTCCTGGACTCAAGAGATCCTCCAACCTCAGCCTCTCAAGTAGCTGGGGCTACAGATGTGTACCACCACATCTGGCTAATTTTTTTATTTTTGTAGAGATGGGGATGCGGGGTCTTGCTATGTTTCCCAGGCTGGTCCCAAACTCCTAGGCTCAAGTGAACCTCCTGCCTCAGCCTCCCAAAGTGCTGGGATTACAGATGTGAGCCACCTTGCTGGCCCCCATCTTGCGTATTAACACACATCATTAATTTGATTCTCATGTAAGTCTGGGGAGGTGGTTGTTTTACACAGATGGCAAAATAGAAGCTCAGGGATTAGGGGACTTATAGCTGGTCACACAGTAAATAGCTGGGCCAGAAATCAACTCCAGATCTTCAGACCTTTCTCCTAGTACCAGACAAGGGACTAACCTAATAAGACATAGTGAGTGCAGACATTTGCAGCAACTGCCCTTGCAATTCCAAAAAGATGAACTTACCCTCGAGAGCCTAGTGAGAAGGGAAAGGAGGAAGATGCCGGTGGAAGGAAGAGAGGTCTAAATGGAGCTCATTCTCTTGGCTTAGCGTCACTGCCCTGAGAACGTCAGGGAGAATTGTAATGTAGGTGAATTTGGACTACCTTTGATCTCTTCCTTCATCTAAGCATTTAGCATTACTGCAGTAAAAAGAAACCTGTATATTTTAATGTGCAGCATATTCTTAATCTCTCAGTAGAGATTGGGCGACAAAGCCATCTCATGGAGCAAAAGCATGGACTTTGGAGGAGGATAACAACAACCTGCCTATTTATGGAGCTCTGACTAGGTAACAGGGACAGTTCTGAGCACTCATTGAATTCTCATAGTAATCCTATGAGATAGGTACTGTCATTTGTTGTACAGATGGGGAAATGAAGGCACAGAGAAGTCAACTAACTTGTCCGAGGTCATACAGCTAGTAAGTAGGGGAGGTGGATTTGAACTAAGCAGTTGGGCTCCAGAGCCCAAGTTGTCAATGACTCCTCATAGTCAGGGATGTTGCTCAAACTCTGAGCTCCAGGAGCCTCATCTGTAAAATGGGGATAAATATATATCTTGTTGCCAGGCACAGTGGCTGGCTTATGCTTGTAATCCCAGCACTTTGGGAGGCTGAGGCAGGTGGATCACCTGAGGTCGGGAGTTCGAGACTAGCCTGACCAACATGGAGAAACTGTCTCTACTAAAAATACAAAACAAATTTCCGGGCATGGTGGTACACGCCTGTGATTCCAGCTAATCGGGACGCTGAGGCAGGAGAATCGCTTGAACCCGGGAGGCAAAAGTTGTGGTGAGCCAAGATCACACCATTGCACTCCAGCCTGGGCAACAAGAGCGAAACTCTGTCTCAAACAAAAACAAAAATTAGCCGGGTGTATTGGTGCGTGCCTGTAATCCCAGTTACTCAGGAGGTTGAGACAGGAGAATCTCTTGAACCCAGGAGGCAGAGGTTGCAGTGAGCTGAGATCACGCCACTGCACTCCAGCTTGGGTGACAGAGCAAGACTCCGCCATCTGAAAAAAAGAGAAAGTATATATATATATATATATATATACACATTTGAGTTGTTAAATGAAAGACTCTATGTATATTGCCTGGCACTTGGTAGGTACTCAGATATTGGCTGTTATTATTACAAATCAGCTCACTGTGCCTACATTTGTACATGTGAAGGCTGCCCAGTGGTTCCTTGGAATTCAAGCCCGGGTATAGGAGGATAAACGTCTCGTCTGGATCCTGACAGCATGTGGATAAGGAAGAATCTTAGCCCCACAAACTAGCCTGTGATGTTGGGGAAGTCACTTAACCTTCCTGAACATGCTCTCTGTTTTGCAAGGGAGAGATAATATTTCTCTTACAGGGTTGTTGTAAGAATGAAATGAGATCATGCGACCCAGCCTCAGATTAAGAACGTGTTAAGTAAATGTTAGCTCTTATTGTTAAAGGCACATTTTTGGCAAAGGAAGCTCTCAGGAATGGATAGGGGCTGGGTAAAATGAGGCTGAGACCTATTGGGTTGCATTCCCAGATGGTTAAGGCATTCTAAGTCACAGGATGAGATAGGAGGTCAGCACAAGATACAGGTCGTAAAGACCTTGCTAATAAAACAGGTTGCAGTAGAGAAGCCGGCCAAAACCCACCAAAACCAAGATGGCGACAAGAGTGTTCTCTGGTGGTCCACACTGCTACACTCCCACCAGCGCTGTGACAGTTTACAGATGCCATGGCAACGTCAGGAAGTTACCCTATATGGTCTAAAAAGGGGAGGCGTGAATAATCCACCCGTTGTTTAGCATATCATCCAGAAAGAACCATAAAAATGGGCAACCAGCAGCCCCCGGGGGCTGCTCTGTCTATGGAGTAGCCATTCTTCATTCCTTTACTTTATTTATTTATTTATTTATTTTTTTTAGATGGAGTCTCACTCTGTCGCCCGAGCTGGAGTGCAGTGGCACGATCTCTGCTCACTGCAACCGCCGCCTCCAGGTTCAAGCAATTCTTTTGCCTCAGCCTCCCGAGTAGCTGGGACTAAAGGCAAGCGCCACCACGCCTGGCTAATATTTGCATTTTTAGTAGAGATGGCGTTTTACCATATTGACCAGGCAGCTCTCGAAGTCCAGACCTTGTGGTCAGGCTCGTCTCGAATTTCTGACCTCATGATCCGCCTGCCTCGGCCTCCCAAAGTGCTGGGATTACAGGCGTGAGCCACTGTGCCTGATTCTTTACTTTCTTAATAAACTTTCACTTTACTCTATGGACTCACCCTGAGTTCTTTCTTAGGTGAGATCCAAGAACCCCTCTTGGGGTCTGGATCAGGGTCCTTTTCCTGTAACAGATGGGTGGCAACGTGAAAGCAGAGTGTGGTGGTGAAGGACCCCCGTTAGGGGGCACTATTTCAGCACATTTTCCAAAGGTTAATATCTAACGGTTAAAAAAAAAATTTGAAAAAGCTGATCTGTTCACTACCGTATTAAAAGAAGAGTGGTTTCACTCAAAACCCCCAAAAGGCGGTAACTGGAACATTGTGCTGTTTTATGCTCCCGTCTCTCAAGCCAGGCTCGTGCTTGTGATATCGGTAGTCCTAGTGCGTTAGAGGAGAAGGGATTGGGACTGAAGGTGTATTGTGATGTTTTGGCTGCAGCAGCCTGGGCCCTGCACTTCTGGTGTGTCAGGAGCTGCAGATCAAACTGAAATCTCCAGGATTCAGGCCCCATCCGGATTTGCCTGGAGGGCTGTTGGGGCAGATCCCAGGCCTGGCACCAACCCCGAAAGGCAACTTTTAGCCCAGCAAGGCCACACATCGTCCTCCCAGACCTTCCTCAGGATCTTAGGAGTACCTGAGAACCTACACCATGGCCCCATGCTGGGGCGCTGGGGGTGATTCAGGCTTCTCTCCTCTTTAGGGAGGAAGAGCATAGCACAGGGGCTGGATTGACGTCCTGCTTGGCCACAGGCATGTGCGTAGGAGGCAGGACTGGGGTGAGGCACCTTCCTGGGGCTTCCAGGCTTTCAGAGGTGGAGGCAGCGCCTATCCTTGTGGAAAACCAGTGTTAGAATTGGAGGAAGTTTTGCGTACTATGGGGTTGCTGAGAGAATCACAAATACCCATGAAATGTCCCAGAAATGGTGAGAGAAGCTTTTGGGTGGCTGAGGCACTCAAATGGTAGACAGGGTTGGAGCCAGAGAACTGTTTCTTATAACTTTAATGGGGGATGTTTGGTTTGGGATCTGGTCTCTGGCAGCAGGCAGAGTCCCCACCCTCCCGTTGAGTGATCACCCAGAGGTGAAAGAGCTGAAGGCCGTGAGTGAACGTGTATATTTTTGCTGCAAGCAAGAGGTAGCCTCCAGGCTCTGGAAGCTCATCTTGAGGTCACTGGTTTGGTTTGGCTTGCCACGAGGGCACTCTTTTTGCTCAGTAAAGCCCAGATCAAGGATTGATCACCAAAGATGCGAGTGGCCAAGGTGGCAAGCAATCTGATTTTTATTAGGTTTCTTGGGACAAAGCTATGCCTTGCCCACCTTTTCATTCCCTTCTCCACCTCTCATTGGTACTAATATATGTTTTTTTTGTTGTTGTTGTTGTTGTTTGTTTGTTTGTTTTGAGATGGAGTCTCACTCTTGTCGCCCAGGCTGGAGTGCAGTGGCACAGTCTCGGCTCACTGCAACCTCTGCCTTCTGGGTTCAAGTGATTCTCCTGCCTCAGCCTCATGAGTAGCTGGAATTACAGGCGTGCACCACCATGTCTTGCTAATTTTTTAATTTTTAGTAGAGACAGGGTTTCACCATGTTGACCAGGCTGGTATTGAACTCCTGACCTCAAGCGATGCATCTGCCTTGGCCTCCCAAAGTGCTGGGACCGCAGGCGTGAGCCACCTGATCATCCTCGTTGATCACTGAGTAGATTCTGGAGTCCAGAAGTAGTGCCCAGTGAGGCACTTTCTTTCACTCTCGGTCTCCAGGAGCTGGAATGACACCTAGATTTGGGCTCTGCGTCCTCTCAGCAGGGCTGGCTTCACACAGAGCTCATGCTCAGAAGGACCCTGGACTTGGTTAATGCTATGCTGCTGCCATCTTGGAATTTTTCATTTTTCTTATTTTACAACTTAAAAAAATTGTGATAAAATATATATAATATAGTGATTTGCCACAATTAACAAGAAAGCATGCACACACACGCAGTTTTATATGTGTATGTGTGTGTGTGCGCTTTAATTTTTATTTGTGAGACATTTTATTTTAATTGTGAGACTGTCTTTTTTCTGAGACAGGGTCTTACACTGTCACCCAGGCTGGAGTGCAGTGGCGTGATCACGGTTCACTGCAGCCTCAACTTCCTGGGCTCAGGTAATCCTACCACCTCTACCTCCTGGGTAGCTGGGACTACAGGCGTGTGCCACCACACTCAGCTTTTTTTTTTTTTTTTTTTTTTGTAGAGATGAGGTTTCGCCATGTTGCCCAGGCTGGTCTCAAACTCCTGGGCTCACGTGATCTGCCTGCCTCAGGCCCCCAAAGTGCCGGGATAACAGGTCACCATACCTGGCTATTTTCACTATGTCTAAGTGTACAATTCAGTGGCATCGATTCCACTCATAATGTTGTGCAACCATCACCACTATCTATTTCAAAAACTTTTTGTTGCTCCAAATAGAAACTCTGTACCCATTAAGCAGTGACTCCCCATTTCCCCTCCCCTCAGTCCCTGGTGTCCTCTAAAGTACTTTGTCTCTATGAATTTGCCTATTCTGGGTATTTAATAGAAGTGGAATCATGCAATATTTGTTCTTTTGTGTTGAGCTTATTTCTCTTGGCATAATGTTTTTGAGGTTCATCCATATTGCAGCATGTGTCAGAATGTCATTCCTTTTTATGGCTGAAAAAGCTCCCATCATATGGATATACCATTTATCCATTTATCTGTTGATAAACACTAGAGTTATTTCCACCTCTTGGCTGTTGTGAATGGTGCTGCTATGAACATTGGCATACAGGTATGTATTTCAGTCCTTGTTTTCAATTCTTTTCTTTTCTTTTCTTTTTGTTTTTTTGAGACAGAGTTTCCCTCTTGTCGCCCAGGCTGGAGTGCAATGGTGTGATCTTGGCTCACTGCAACCTCTGCCTCCTGGGTTCAAGTGATTCTCCTGTCTCAGCCTCCCGAGTAGCTGGGATCACAGGCGTGTGCCACCACACCCAGCTAATTTTTTTGTATTTTTAGTAGAGTTGGGGTTTCTCCATGTTGGTCAGGCTGGTCTCGAACTCCCGACCTCAGGTGATCTGCCTGCCTCGGCCTCCCAAAGTGCTGGGATTACAGGTGTGAGCCACTGTGCCTGGCCTCCTGAATTACCTCTCCTTTATATGGCTCAGCCTCGATGACCAGAAATTAACCATCACCTCTATCTTGGGGCCCACTTAAGGTCTGCTGGTCTTCCTGTGGACAAACGTGGTTTACTTGTCTGTATGTGCCACACTGTGGAAGAAGAGTTTACTTAAGACCATTAGCTTGAGGACTGAAACCACCGAAACCCACATAAGCTTGCTTATGTCTGCATTATATGACTACTACCATGTGGTCTTCGTAACATGACTTTACTATTCCACTGTCTTTACCAATCTATTTGTCTGTTCTCACATTGCTATAAAGAAATGCCTGAGATGGGGCAACTTATAAAGCAAAGAAGTTTAATTGGTTCACGGTTCCACAGGCTGTACAGGAAGCATAGTGGCTTCTGCTTCTGGGGAGGCCTCAGGAAACTTACAATCATGATGGAAGGTGAAGGAGAAGCAGGCACGTCTTACATGGCTGGACCAGGAGGATGTGGTGGGGGAGCTGCCAGACACTTTCAAACAACCAGATCTCATGAGAATTCACTCACCATCATGAGAACAGCATGGAGGGGAAGGTGCTAAGCCATTCATGAAGGATCCACTCCCATGATCCAATCACCTCCCATTGGGACCCACTTCCAACATTGGGGATTATGGTTC
The DNA here is from genome assembly GCF_000001405.40 of Homo sapiens. NCBI lineage: Eukaryota > Metazoa > Chordata > Mammalia > Primates > Hominidae > Homo > Homo sapiens. Next base: position 13,413,278 of record NC_000010.11, read on the forward strand.
GACATGAGATTTGGGCGGGGACACAGATCCAAACTGTATCAACCAACATGATTTCACTGTGGCAGGAAACACTTGCCCAGAAAGCTAAAGATTGCAAGTAACTTTAGTGTTTGTTTTAGGAATTTCCCCTGAACTTACTTAAAACTGCCTAACTTTGGTAGATTGCAACAAATGACTGTTAACTCACCTTGCTATCTCCATGATCTTGGATTATATCATGATCCTATTCAATCTTAGACTTCCCCACACTGAAAGACCTTCCTTAAACCAGACTCTTAAACATCATAAACACTCTGAATTTATCTGTCCCACTCAGACATTGTTATGACCACCAGGGTAGTGCTTTTTCTTACTGCCATGAGCTTTGCTTTATCAACATGTTGCCTTGGTGGTATTTTATGGGAGCCAGCATTCGATAAGCTGCAATTTTCTTTTCCACACTATGTAGTTGCTCCAATCCTATTTTATCCAATATTCATCCATCCATCCAGCCAGCCAGCCAGCCACTGATTTATTTATTCATTCAACATATATTTATTGAGTGCCTACTATATGTTCAGCACCCTTAGACCCTGGTTTAGTGATGATGGATGATGTTACAGCCCTTGTCTTTACAGCGTTCACCCTCTCCTTCATCATTACGTCACTTTCCTGCTGCTAGGTGAAGGGGCCCAGAATATGCCACTTTGGTTTAAGGATTATTTTGAGCTGAAGGCAATTGGGAAAATACAGCCACAGGAAAAGCTCTCTGTCCTTCTTCTTTCTGCCTAAAAGCAGGCCACGTTTCCCTTTGTAAAGGTAACATAAATTTCCACTTGTAAAGGAATTGTGAAGTGGTGCCTCTCTCCAATACCAGAAGAGGAGAATAACTGTTAATCACTGGAGATGACTTATCACTGGAGACATTACCAAGGTGAGTCTGCCTAACAAATCCAACTATTCATCCCTTATCTACTGTACATTTCTTAGTTATCTTTCCACAATTTACCACTCCTAGAAGCCTAAATGATCTGCTTTCCTTTGTCTAGTCACTTCACAATTTATCACCCTTTGTTAAAATGGTATATAAACCCCTGAGTCTGACTACTTTTTTGGGGTCTTCTTCTTTTTTGTCTTTTGAGATAGAGTCTCACTCTATTGCCCAGGCTGGAGTGCCGTGGCACAATCTCAGCTCACTGCAACCTCTGCTTCCCAGGTTCAAGTGATTCTCCTACCTTAGCTTCCCAAGTCAAGTAGCTGGGACTTACAGGTGCACATCACCACACCCAGCTAATTTTTGTATTTTTAGTAGAGACAGGGTTTCACCATGTTGGCCAGGCTAGTCTTGAACAACTGCCCTCAAGTGGTCCACCCGCCTCAGCCTCCCAAATTGCTGGGATTACAGGCAAGAGCCACCGTGCCCAGCCTGGGGTCTTATTTTCTGTGAGGCCTCCTGTGTAAGAAAAAATATTAGCATCAAATAAAATTATTATATATTTCTCTTGTTAATCTGGCTTTTATCCATTTAATTTGCAGGCTTCAGTAACTGAACATAGGAGGGTAGACAAAATGTTTTTTTTCCTCTATGTAGGGAACATGGAGACTAAGAAGTACTTTCTCCTTGAATTGATTTGTAAGTGGAACTTTCCAACAGCAAAACAGCTGGATGTTTGTGCTTTTAAAATCTGGACTCTGGACTTGATCTTCAGAAGAACAGGAAGCAAGGTGTTTGCACTGAGTTTGACATGCACAGTAGTGATTAATTGACTTGTCAGTGCTGGGCTTTCTTGCCTCTAAGGTCCTGCCTCTTGCTTCTTTTGCCCTGGTGTTAATCCCATGCAGCTGGTGCAGAAACAGAACCAAGAGCTTGGAAGTCACAAGGTGGCGCCACCCCAACTAGGACTGTTCTTTCAAAGCCCAGTGCCCAGTTGGTGAAATGACCCACCAGCATTGCACAGGAGAGCCCCAGAGAGATATGTCCAGGATATACGATCAGTCTGGTAGGTAAGGGGCCCTTATCAGAGGCTTTGCCAAGAGATATGACCTGCCAAGCTGGTTTGTAAACCAGCTCTAGCTGCTTCGGAGTGATCGTGGTATATCTGGATGAACACAAATCTGGACACTCAAACGAATCTCTTGATGTTGGTTTTCTTTCAATTTAAAAAGATATTTTGTCTGGGAATGTGGTTCACGCCTATAATCCCAGCACTTTGGGAGACTGAGGTGGGCGGATCACTTGAGGCCAGGAGTTCAAGACCAGCCTAGGCAACATGGTGAAACCCCATCTGTACTACAAATACAAAAATTAGCTGGGCGTGGTGGCGCATGCCTGTAATCCCAGCTACTTGGGAGGCTGAGGCAGGAAAATTGCTTGAGCCCAGGAGATGGAGGTTGCAGTGAGCCAAGATCATCGCACCATTGCACTCCAGCCTGGGCAACAGAGTGAGACTCTGTCTCAAAAAACAAACAAACAAACAAAAAAAGATGTTTCACTTTTCTTCCCTTTTTATCTTTTTTTTGCAGCTGGTTCTTAGATATTCTCCAGCCCAGCTTATTTATCTTGTGAGCTTCAGGCAGCTTACTCTTCCCCCAACCTCTCCCATCTCTCCTTTCCCATGTGATTACATCTTTCCTTGGTAATGGAGTTTTGACTGGCCTTTTGTATAACGCTAAGTCACCATGAGACAGAATGTTTCCCTCCATATTTTTATCAGGCACTTTTGTTTCCTGAGCTGTTTTTCTAAGTGTGTGTGTTTCTGGTTTTGCTTCTGGTTGGCAAATAGGTCCGATATTCAGGGAGAAGATTGGATACTATGGTGTGTCAATTGATCTTTAAAAGAAATAAGCAAAAGTTGATGACATGCTGAAGCTCAGGGCCAATGCAGATCTGCCTCCCAAGAGGCCAGTTTCAATTAAGGAGATTAAAAGTCCCGAGTGCACAGAGGCTCGGTCACGTGTTTCTGGATGCCGGTCTCCTCCAGCAGCCTGAGAGCAGGCAGTGGAGTCCAGAGTGCTGGACTGAGCCCTTTGGGCCAATGTCAAGATGATAAACAATAAGGAGAGGATACTAAAGGAAAAGCTAGCTGATGGGACTCAGTGATTCCTCACAGGGACGTACTAGCAGCGTGGGCAGACCTTCCTTCTACAGGACTGACTTGCTTGGTGCAGGGTGTTTGGCAGGGCTATCCTCAACGCCATCAAATATCCGAGTGGCTCTGGATCCAAGCCACTGTGCCGACCAACCCAAATCCAACCCTAAACAAAAGTGATGCCCCTGCACATTTCCTAGTGGACAGATGCCCCCTTGGTACCCAACAGCCCCGCCTCTGATTTGCTCTCTACGTGGAGAGGAGGTCTTGTGTGACTCCCAGGTAGAGAACTGATTTGCCTTGTCCAGACCCTCCTCTCAGGATTCTAGGGTTCCGTGTTCCCTGACTGCCAGGGGGCTTTGTAGAGCCTCAACCACTGAGGGGCAAGGGCAGGGGTGACAGAGGAGGGAGAAGGGTGGACTGGCAAGGCCTGGCTGAAACTGAGGTGGGAGAGAGGGGCTTTGGCATCGTATAGACAGGGCTGGACCTATCTCTGACTCTTATGGGCTCTGCATTGGCCCTGAGCTTCAGCATGTGATCAGCTTCTGCTTATTTCTTTGTAAGACAGTTTGGTATACCAGATGTCAAGTCTGAGCCCAGACTGAAAGTGAGCTTCACTTTTGAAGTTTCTAAAAAAGAAGCCACCACCCACCTCACGGGTGTTATGCCAAGCTCACAGGAGGTGGTGTGTGTACATAAAGTGCACAATAGTCCCTTGCCAGCCCTCCACTGTAGGCAGCTATCCAGTGACACTAGGCAGGCAGGTGGGGGCACAAATCCCACTCAGCTCCCTGGATGTGTGGTCTGAATGTTTGTGTGCCTTCAAAATTTCTGTGTTAAAATCTTAACCCCTGAGGTGATGGTATTAGGAGATCGGCCTTTGGGAAGTGATTAGGTCCCAAGGGTGGAGTCTTCGTGAATGGAATTGGTGCCCTTATAAAAGAGGCCCAAGGGAACCCTCTCACCCCTTCCACCCTGTGAGGACACGGCATAAAGGCACTGTCTATGAAGCAGAAGGCACACCCTCACCAGACACCAAATCTGCCTTGATCTTGGACTTCTTGGATCTCCAGCCTCCAGAACGATTCGATTTCTGTGTTGAGAAGCCACCCAATGTATGGCGTTTTGTTACAGTAGCCCTAAGATACCAGAGCTGGTGATTTGTTTTAGAAGCTGACAGATCAATGTATTTTGAGGGTTCAGTGAACATGCCCTGTCAACCATGAATGCTGTGCAAATGTCAGGTCTGTGGGATAGCACAGGGGCAGGAGTGAAACAGGGCCATAAACAATAAGGAGATAAGGGAGGCAGGGAAGCAGGAGGGACTGAGCTGGGCCTTCAGGCTGGGTCTGGTTGGTCCCCGAGGGCAGGAAGGAGTAGGAGCATTTCAGGCGGGGGAGTAGCATGCGGCTGGTGGAAACCACAGGTATCTCTTGGGCAGGAAAGTTAAGTGGGCTGGGATGAAAGCCAGTCGGACAGAGGCCTGTGGATGGGAGCAACTGCAAAGACACGCTCAGGTTTCCCAGGCAAAGGACAGGAGCCCAAAACCACAGTTAGCCCGGTCTTGGGGTGAGATCCTCATGCAGGCCCTCTTCCTTCTCTTTGCTGTCTTTTGGTTACTTTCTTATTACCAGGATGGCCTCGAAAATGGAGTGGGAAGAGGGTGGGGTTCTACATGAGTCTATGTCAGGGCCTGGCTGCTTGTTTGGTTATCTAAAGCGGGGGTCACCAACACCTGGGCCATGGACTGGTACTGGCCAGTGGCCTGTTAGGAATCAGGCCCACACAGCCAGAGGTGAGTGGCGGGCGAGCAAGCAAAGCTTCATCTGTGTTTACAGCTGCTCCCCATCGTTCACATTACAGCCTGAGCTCCGCCTCCTCTCAAATCAGCAGCAGCACAAACCCTACTGTGAACTGCGCAGCCAGGGATCTAGGTTGCACGCTTCTTATGAGAATCTAATGCTTGATGATCTGTCACTGTCTCCCGTCACCCCTGCATGGGACCATCTAGTTGCAGGAAAACAAGCTAAGGGTTCCCACTGATTCTACATTATGGTGAGTTGTAGAATTATTTCTTTTCTTTTTTTTCTTTTTGAGACAGAGTTTCACTCTTGTTGCCTAGGCTGGAGTGTAATGGCTCAATCTCGGCTCACACCAACCTCCGCCTCCCAGGTTCAAGCGATTCTCCTGCCTCAGCCTCCCAAGTAACTGGGATTACAGGCATGGGCCACCATGCCCGGCTAATTTTGTATTTTTAGCAGAGATGGGGTTTCTCCTTGTTGGTTAGGCTGGTCTTGAACGCCTGACCTCAAGTGATCCACCCACCTCAGCCTCCCAAAGTGGTGGGATTACAGGCGTGAGCCACCACACCCGGCCTAGAATTATTTCATTATATATTACAATGTAATGATAATAGAAATAAGGTGAACGATACATGTAGTGTGCTTGAATCATCCTGAAACCTTCCCCCACACCAGGACAACGGAAAAATTGTCTTCCATGATACTGGTCCCTGGTACCAGAAAGGTCGGGGACCACTCATCTAAAGGACAGGAGGCGCTGCTGTCAAAAGCACCTGCTTCAAGATACAGAGGGTGGCAGAGCCCCATACCCTCAGGGGCTGGGAGGTTCATGCACTTGCCCGAGGTCACTGGGTGGTTAATGGCAGGCTGGTTTCCTGCTGTCCCGTCAGGAGGTCCTTCTCCTATATCCCCAGCCTCGTCCCTATTTCTCCCCAGATAATTGAGAAATGAATGGCCAGAGCTGCAGGCCTAGTTTTGTGGTAAACAGTTGGAACAGCCCGGGCACAGTGGCTCACGCCTGTAATCCCAGCATTTTGGGAGGCCGAGGCAGGTGGATCACTTGAGTTCAGGAGTTTGAGACCATTCTGGCCAACATGGCAAAACCCCATCTCTCCTAAAAATACAAAAATTAGCCGGGTGTGGTGGCGTGCGCTTGTACTCCCAGCTGCTCAGGAGGCTGAGGCAGGAGAATTGCTTGAACCCGGGAGGCAGAGGTTGCTGTGAGCTGAGATCACACCATTGCACTCCAGCCTGTGCACTAGAGCGAGAATGTGTCTCAAAAAAAAAAAAAAAAATTAAATGTAAGTCAGATGCTTACGGAAGTCTTGAAACACCTCCTCCACAAAGGAATATCCCAAAAAAGTAGTTTAAAAACTATTTCAGTAGAATACAGGCTTAAGAAGGAAAAATGACTTCTACCTAATTGTAATAATAGTGAACACATACATAGCACTCAGGCACTGCTCTGAACGCTCACAAATTAACACGTTTATTCCACAGAATAACCCTATGAGGCAGGCACCAGTATTATGATCTCCAGCTTACAGATGAGAAAATCAGCGGACAGAGGATTAAATGATTGGCACAAGGTCACACCACTAAACCAGGGCCATGGGAGGTTGAGGCTGCAGTGAGCCAAGACCGTGCCACTGCACTCCAGCCTGAGTGACACAGCCAGATCCCGTCTCAAAAATAAACAAAAAACCCAAACCTGAGACTAAAAGCCAAATTCTCAACTTCCAGGGCACTATCCATTTGACTATTCCAGAAAGCCCCTTACTAAGGGTGCCGTTGGCAGCTGAGGGGCTCACGTTGGTGGCTGGACATCCCCCGCGTGGCCCTTGCAGCTGGAGAGAATCCCTGCATTTCCCGGGCTCCAGCTTTTTCCATGTCATTTTATCCTTAGTCAGTGACTGAGACCGCTGTCTCAGCAGGGCTTCTCAAACTATCAGTGGTAAGGACCCAGGTTTGTTTTTTTTTTTGAGACGGAGATCTCGCTCTGTCGCCCAGGCTGGAGTGCAGTGGCGTAATCTTGGCTCATTGCAACCTCCGCCTCCCGGGTTTAAGCAGTTCTCTGCCTCAGCCTCCTGAGTAGCTGAGATTACAGGCACATGCCACCAGGCCCAGCTAATTTTTGTATTTCTAGTAGAGATGGGGTTTCACCATCTTGGCCAGGCTGGTCTTGAATTCCTGACCCCGTGATCCACCCGGCTCGGCCTCCCAAAGTGCTGGGATTACAGGTGTGAGCCACCGCGCCCGGCCAGGACCCAGGTGTTTATTTGCAGTGGGCTCTAGTATGTGATGAGAAATTGAAATTTTTGTATTAAAAAACCATAGAAAATATAAGCTCGTTTCTTTTTTATGACTAGATTCTTGCAACATAGCATTGGTCTGTTAAATGTGTGTGGGTGCTCCTGAACGCTTACTCTCACTTTCTGTGTTTGCCTCATTGTGGAGCTGGAAGTAATCTTTTGGGTCTCTTTGAGTGGCACAGTACTTTTTTTTTTCTTTGTAGAGATGGGGTCTTGCTCTGTTGCCCAGGCTGGTCTCAAACTCCTGGCCTCTAGCTATCCTCCCACCTTGGCCTCCCAAAGCACTGGGATTACAGGCATGAGCCACTGTGGCCTGTGAAAAGCACATCCCTGCCAGCCTCTGCAGTGACAGATTCTGAAACTTCCAGAGACAAAATGTCACAAGCACTAACCCGGCCAGGTCCTGGCTGGACCTTTCCCTGTGGTTACCTTGGAGGGAGAGGAGTTCAAGGCCATTTGGTTACCTCTCTCGCATTGTGTACCAGCAAAGCACAGGCCTTAGAAACTCAAGAGCAAATGCATTCCCCTCACTCGTGAGCCGTGTGAGCTTGGGGCAGGTTCCTGACCTGTCTGTGCTTCAGTTTCGCCATCTGGCAGATTGAGAGAGGGTGATGCCTTCCGCTCAGGGAGGCAGTAAAGGTGAGATGCGATCGTGCCTGGAAAGTGCTCAGCACAGTGTCTCGTTACTCTCTGTTCCTCTTTGTCCACAAAAGGACTCGAGTTAGGGCTGCTGGGAACAGGTGGGACTTGGGGGAGAGGGCGGCGTGGCTATGAGCCTTATAAGAACAATGTGGCCCTCTTGAACAAAATGTCAGAACAGAGGGTCTGGGTGGGCATAGCCTCCACAAATCCACATGTGAGTGAGGATTTCCCAGGAAAAACTTCCCCCAGCCAGAGATTGTTGAGAGAAAGGTAGGAGCTCAACTCAACCTCAGACCAGTTGGCCAAGAAGCCTCCAATTTCACACCCTCCACTGAGATTTGCTGGGGAGGAAGCCTGATGCTGTGTCTCCAGGGTATCTAGGACAGACGTGGGGTGTGTAAGCACCAAATAACCGGTCAGTCTGTGGTTTCTGGATTTGGCACCATTAGCTTCAGAAGCACTGTCTTGGGGTGTAGAGCTCAGGATCAGGACACCTCAGGCCTCTGAATCATCATGCATAGGGCAGCTGCAATGGCCCAGGTGTTACTATGCTCAGGCTGCAGCCACTTAAAGCAACAAAAATGTATTTTCTCACCATTCTGGAGGCTGGAAGTGCAACTGAAGGTGTCTGTAGGGCTGGTCCTTCTGAGGGCTGTGGGGGAAGGGTCTGCTCTAGGCCTTTCTCCTGGGCTTGCAGATGGCTGTCTTTTCTCCATGGCTTCACAGTTCTCTTCCCTCTGTGTGTGTCTGTGTCAAAATCTTCTTATAATTGGAACACCAGGTTTTAGAATTAGCACTAGGGCCCACTCTAATGTCTTCATTTTTAACTTAATGATTTCTGCAAAGACCCTATCTCCAAACCCACTTGCATTCTGAGGCACTGGGGCTGAGGATTTCAACATATGGATTCTGGGAGATTGAGGGGGGCCCATAATTCAGTCTAACAGCCCCTAACCCTCCTGGCTTCTGCAGAACCAAACAAACCATCCAAAGGCTGATCAACAACAACAAAAAACAAGCTTTCAGACCAACAGGAGAAGACAAGATTGCAATGCCTTCATAACAATGTTGCTTTATTGATGCAATGCAAGGAAAACTATGTTAGAATCTAGTGATTCTCTCTCTCTTTTTTCTTTTTAGATGGAGTCTTGTTCTGTCACCCAGGCTGGAGTGCAGTGGTGTAATCTTGGCTCACTGCAACTTTCACCTCCTGGGTTCAAGTGATTCTTGTGCCTCAGCCTTCGGAGTAGCTGGAATTACAGGCACCTGCCACCACGCCCAGCTAATTTTTGTATTTTTAGTAGAGATGGGGTTTCACCATGTTGGCCAGGCTGGTCTTGGGCTCCTGGCCTCAACTGATCCCCCTGCCTCAGCCTCCCAAAGTGTTGGGATTACAGGTGTGAGCCACTGCACTGGGCCTCTATTGATTGTCTTTGAGATCGACAGTAAAGTAAGAGATGAGCCTGGGATCCCCCAGATTCTGTCTTCAGTATGTTAAGGCTCTGCGTATAACTGTGCTCAGCCTTCCCAGTGTGGCTGAATGTGGGACTTAGGGCATGTCACGTAATCTTTCCAAGTTGAAATTTACTGATAAAGCCCAGATAACAAAATTAACTTCTATTTATCTCCCTAGGTGTTCTGAGCCTTAAGGTATGGTTGCAGCGATGACGCATTGCAGAACCAAAGGAATTTGTCCTTAGGATAGACCTTCCAAAGGCCGATCAACAGCGACAAAAAACAAGCTTTCAAACCAACAAGAGAAGACATGATTGCAGTGCCTTCATAACGACATTGCTTTATTGATGAAATGCAAGGAAAACTACGTTAGAATCTACTGATTCTCTTTGAGATCTAATAATACGCTTTATTCAAATCTTATTCACAAACCACTTCCTCCACGGGTCTTTCACAGGAACTGAAATTGGCCAGTTACAAACAGAATTGGTTCTACTGTCCTTTGAAATCACAGACGCAGACATGTTTTAGAATACAAAAGACACCAAGCTTTCTTTGGGAAACACGTCCTGTTTGGAAAAAAAAAAACTCACTTCTTAACAAAAATTGAAAGCACGCCTAACTTCAGATTTATTTGATTACAGAGTCTTTCTCAGGGCTAATCAGTTTTAGAACAGGTTCCTACTGGCACCAGAGAGCCAATAAAAAGTCCAGGAGAGAAGAGGTAACACAACAACTTAGGGAAACAAGGTTGTTTATTTTTTTAAACAGTATTCATATTTATACCGCTGAGTGAAATTATTTATACACACCCTGTAGGTTTTGCATCTTCAGAATTTGTTAGCATTCAGAGGATGATAAACTGTACCTTGGACTTATTTGTGAAAAAATATGTAGATGACACCTGGTGGAGTTTATTGAAACTATTATTCAGGTGTAGAGCCAGAGAAACTCAGCAGAAAGGGAAGCCGGGTTTTTAGATGTCACAATGGATGGTTAAAAATTTCAGCTTTGGGGCAACATTATAATACTCAAATTATTTGCCTCTGGTCCTCATTTTCTCCATCTCTAGCATCGGTTCTGAACTCAGGGTTTTCTGTAAATATTAAATGGCATAATGCATGCTGAGAGATCTGTGTGGGCCCTCCCAGGGTTAAGAATCCAATAAATGTTAGCTCATGTATCATCATTATTACAGAGAATCTTTGCATGTTTATATTTCATCTTTGGAAAGAATTAAATTCGTTGAAAAAAAAGGAGAGTAAGTCTCAGGCCTCCCTAGCATGTGCTCTTTCTCAGTTGTAAGAAGGGACATTGTCTCCCCACGCCCCCAGCATGGAACCGGCAGGATGGAGGGGCTGGTTAGCAGGCAGGGTAAGGAAATGCACAGAGGTTTCACTTTTTCTGTCTTCCCTGCGCAGGTTCAGCATTTGGCTTGATAACTTGTGAATTCCAAGATCAGAAGACCCGCCGGAATTGAATTACCAGTGCCCCAATCTTTCCAAATTCCATAATAATTTTTTAAAAAGTTAATTAATTAATTACTTTTTTTGAGACAGGGTCTCGCTCTGTTGCTCAGGTCGGAGTACAGTGGCACGGTCTCAGCTCTGCCTCCTGGGTTCAAGGGATTCTCCTGCCTCAGACTCCCGAGTAGTTGTGATTACAGGTGTGTGCCACCATGCCTTGCTAGTGGAAATGGGGTTTCACCGTGTTGGCCAGGCTGGTCTTGAACTCCTGACCTCAAGTCATTCGCCTGCATTGGCCTCCTGAAGTGCTGAGATTACAGGTGTAAGCCACCGAGCCAGTCTCATAGTAATAATTATAATAATATTATTATCCTCTTTTTCCACATCACTGTGTCATATTGTAGCACAGAAAACTAAAGTTGGACCAATGACCATTGGCTACAAGGAGCCCACTGGGATTCTGATGGTTATTGACTGCATTTGTATGTCCCCCACAGATTCACATGTTGAAATCCTAACCCCCAGGGAGATGATATTAGAAGGTAGGGCCTTTGGGAGGTGATTTGGTCAGGAGGGTGGGGCCCTTATGAGGGGATTAGTGCCCTTATAAAAGAGACAGGAAAGGCTGGGTGAGGTGGCTCACACCTGTAATCCCAGCACTTTGGGAGGCCAAAGCGGTGGATCACTTGAGGTCGGGAGTTCAAGACCAGTCTGGCCAACATGGCAAAACCCTGTCTCTACTAAAAATACAAAAGTTAGCCGGGCATGGTGGTGCATGCCTGTAGTCCCAGCTACTTGGGAGGCTGAGGCAGGAGAATTGCTTGAGCGTGGAAGGCAGAGGTTGCAGTGAGCTGAGATTGCACCACTGTGCTCCAGCCTGGGTGACAGAGTGAGTGAGACTCTGGGCCTAAAAAAAAAAAAAAAAGGAAAGAGCTTGCTTCCTCTCTCTGCTCTCCACCATGTAAGGTCACAGTGAGAAGGCAGGTGTCTGTGAACCAGGAACAGGGCCTTTGCCTGGAACCCGATCATGTTGGCACCCTGATCTCAGACTTCCAGTCTCCAGAACTATGAGAAATAAATGTTCATTGTTTAAGCCCCCCAGCCTATGGTAATTTGTTACAGCAACCTGGACTGACAAAAACAAAGATCATCCCAAAAAATAAGAACTCTTTTTTTGTTTTCCTTCTGATTCCGGCACTCAGTACCACCACGGGAGCTTATTTGGGCTCTCTAAACAACTGATCTGGGATCAAGAGGGATACAGATTTCCCGTTTGTCTGTTTCCCTCCGTGAACTACAACTCTAGATTTGATCTAATATCTGTGGGAAAAACATTCAGCAAAGGGAGAGGCCAGTCCACCACCATGCAGAGGCAAGAATGGTCAGGAGAATCTGCCTCACATCTTGCAGCCCTTACCCTGCCTTGTCGGAAGATGATAATTGTGCTGCCATTTATACGGTGACTCTCTTAGGGGTCAGGTAGCGGTGTTAATTTGACATTTTATTTCTGAATCTCACAACACATTTTTAGGCAGTTATGATTGCTCCCATTTCACAGATGAGGTAACTGAGGCCTGAGCATCACAGATAATAAGTAGAAAAGCCAGGATTTTGGCTCCAGAGCCTGCATTTAAACAATTATTCTATTTTTATTATATGGTTTTTGGGAAGGCACGTAAACTTTTTGAGGATCAGTACCCTCTTAAGCAAGACAGAGATAAGAATTCTGTTTTGCAATAAGCACAGAGAAAGATGTTCAGGTCAGAGAAATGCAAATGAAGGAATCCTTGCCAGAGCAATCAGGCAAGAGAAAGAAAGGACATCCAAACTGGAAAAGAAGTCAAACTATCTCTGTGTGCTGATGATATGATTGTATACCTAGAAAACCCCAAAGACTTCTCCAAAATACTTCTAGATTTGATAAATGAATTCAGTAAAGTCTTAGGTTACAAAATTAATGTATACAAATCAGTAGTACTGCTACTCATCAACGGCCAACCTGAGAATCAGATCAAGAACTCAGTCTTTTTCACAATAGCTGCAAAAAACAAAACAAAAACAACCCTAGGGATATACTTAACCAAGAAGATGAAAGTTCTCTACAAGGAGAGCTACAAAATACTGCTGAAGAAATCATAGATGACACAAACAAATGGAAACACATCCCATGCTCATGGATTGGAGAATCAATATCATGAAAATGACCATACTGCCCAGTGCAATCTACATATTCAATGCAATTCATATAAAAATACCAACTTTGTTTTTTCACAGAATTAGAAAAAACAATCCTAAAATTCATATGGCACCAAAAAAGAGCCCAAATAGTTCAAAGCAATCCTAAGCAAAAGAACAAATCTGGAAGCATCATATTACTTTATAAATTATACTACAAGTCTGTAGTTACCAAAACAGCATAGTACAGGTATAAAAGTAGATACATAGACCAATGGAACAGAATGGGAAACCCATAAATAAAGTCAAATACTTACAACCAACTGATCTTCAACAAATCATACAAAAACATAAATTGAAGAAAGGACACTCTATTCAATAAATGATGCTGGGAAAACTTGATAGCCACATGTAGAAGAATAAAGCCAGATCTCTATCTCTCACCATATAAAAAATCAACTCAAGATGGGTTAAAGACTTGAACCTAAGACCTGAAACTACAAAAATTCTAGGAAAAAACCTAGGAAAAACTATTCTGGACATTGGCCTAGGCAAAGAATTTGTGCCTAAGTTCCCAAAAGCAAATGCAATAAAAACAAAAATAAATACATGGGACCTAATTAAACTAAAAACCTTCAGCACAGCAAAAGAAATAATCACCAGAGTAAACAGACAATTCACAGAATGGGAGAAAATATTTGCAAACTATATATCTGACAGAAAACTAGTATCCAGAATCTACAAGGAGCTCAAACAAAGCAGCAAGAAAAAAACCAAATCATCCCATCAAAAAGTAGGTAAATGACATGAATAGACATTTCTCAAAAGAAGATATACAAATGCCCAACAACGAAAAAATGCTCAACATCACTAATCATCAGGGAGATGCAAATTGAAACCACAGTGAGATACCTCCTTACCCAACCAGAATATCCATTATTAAAAAGTCAAAAAGCAATAGATGGTGTGGATGTAGTTAAAAGGGAATGGTTATATCCCGCTGGTGGGAATGTAAATTAGTACAACCTCTGTGGAAAACAGTATAGAGATTTCTGAAAGAACTACAAGCAGATGAACCATTTGATCCGGCAATCCCACTACTGGGTATCAACCTAAAGGAAAAGAAGTCATTATATCAGGAAGACAACAGTATGCATATGTTTATTGTAGTACAATTCACAATTGCAAAGATATGGAATCAACCTAAGTGCCCATCAAGAGATGAGTGGATAAAGAAAATGTAATATACATATACCATAGAATACTACTAAGCAATAAAAAAGAAAGAAAGAATGTCTTTTGCAGCAACTTGGATAGAGCTGAAGGTCATTATTCCAAGTGAAGGAACTTGGGAATGAAAAACCAAATACCACATGTTGTCACTCATAAGTGGAAGCTAAGCTATGGGTATGCAAAGGCATATGCAAAGATATAATGGACATCGAAGACTCAGAAAGAGGGGGTGGGAGGGGGTGAGGGATTGAAAAACTACATATTGGGTACAGTGTACACTACTTGGGTGATGGGTACTAAAATCTCAGACTTGACCACTGTACAATTCATCTATGTAACCAAAAACTACTTGTACCCCTAAAGCTACTGAAATAAAAAAGAAATGCAAATTAAAACCACAATGAGCTGTCACCTCACACCTGTTAGGATGGCTATCATCAAAAAGATCAAAGATAACAAGTGTAGCCAAGGATGCGGAGAAAAGGCAACCCTTGTCCACTGTTGGTGGGAATGTAAATTGGTACAGCCGCTATGGATAACAGTGAGAGGTGAAGCCAGCTGGACTTCCTGGGTGGAGTGGGGACTTGGGGAACTTTCTGTCTTACAAGAGGACTGTAAAACGCACCAATCAGGAACTTTTCTGTCTTACAAGAGGATTGTAAAACGCACCAATCAGCACTCTGTAAAACGCACCAATCAGCACTCTGTAAAATGCACCGATCAGCAGGATTCTAAAAGTAGCCAATTGCGGGGAGGATTGAACAAAGGGCACTCTGATAGGACAGAAAGGGAACATGGGTGGGGACAATAAGGGGAATAAACGCTGGCCACCCCAGCCAGCAGGCAACAACCTTCTGGGGTCCGCTTCCATGCTGTGGAAGCTTTGTCCTTTCACTCTTCACAATAAAACTTGCTACCATTCATTCTTTGGGTCTGTGCCATCTTTAAGAGCTGTAACACTCACCACGAAGGTCCACAGCTCAATTCTTGAAGTCAGCGAGACCACGAACCCACCGACAGGAACCAACTCCAGACACCCCAGTATGGAAGATCCCCCAAAACCTAAAAATAGAACATGATCCAGCAATTCCACTACTGGGTACATATCCAAAGGAATTAAAATCAGTCTGTTGAAGAGATACCTGCACTCTCATATTCATGGCAGCACTATTCACAGCAGCCAAGATGGGAAATCAAGCTAAGTGTCCATCAATGGATAAAGAAAATTTGGTCTATATACACAATGGGGGCATATTCAGCTATTAAAAAGGAAATCCTGTGATTTGTGACAACACAGATGAGTCTGGAGGACACTATGCCAAATAAAATAAACCAGGTACAGAAAGGCAAATACTCTGTGACCTCACTTTTTTTTTTTTTTTTTTTTTTTTTGAGATAGAGTTTCGCTCATCACCCAGGCTGGAGTGCAATGGCAAGACCTCAGCTCACTGCAACCTCCGCCTCCTGGGTTCAAGCGATTGTCCTGGGTCAGCCTCCTGAGTAGCTGGGATTATAGGCATGTGCCACCATGCCCGGCTAATTTTTGTATTTTTAGTGGAGACGGGGTTTCACCATGTTGGCCAGGCTAATCTCGAACTCCTGACCTCAGGTGATCCACCCGCTTTGGCCTCCCAAAGTGCTGGGATTACAGGTGTGAGCCACCTTGCCCGGCCCTGTGTGACCTCACTTCTATGTGGAACCTAAAAATGTTGAATCCTTAGATGTGGAGTAAAATGGTGGTTACCAGGGGCTGGGAGTGGGGGATGGTGGAGTGGGGAGGGAATCAGGTGTTGGTCGAAAGATACGAAGTTGCAGTTACATAGAAAGAATAAGTTTTTGAGATCTATTGCACAGCATGGTGACTGTAGTTAAAGTATAGTATATTTCAAAATTGTTAAGAGAATGTATTTCAAATGTTCTCATCACAGAAAATGATGTGTGTGAGGTGATGAATAGGTAAATTAGCTAGATTTGATCGTTCCGTAATGTACACATATATCAAAGTGTCGCATCATACCCCATAGTTATATACAATTGTTATTTGTCAATTAAATATAAAAAATGTAAAAATATATATTTTAAAAAGATGCTCAGCATTATTAATCACCAGAGAGATGCAAATCACAACCACAGTGAGGTACCACTTCACACTCACTAGGATGGCTATAAGAAAACAAACAATCACAAGTATTAGCAAGTGTGTGGAGACATCAGATCCCTCATACATTGCTGGTAGGAATGTAAAATGGTTCAGATTCTTTGGGAAACAGGTATTTCCCCAAAAAGTTCAATATAGGCCAGGCGTGGTGGCCCACACCTGTGATCCCAGCACTTTGGGAAGCTGAGGCAGGAGGGTGGTCTGAGCCCAGGGGTTTGAGACTAGCCTGGGCAATATAGTCAGACTCAGCCTCTAAAAAAGAAAAAGTTAGCCAGGTGTGGTGTAGTCCCAGCTACTCTGGAGGTTAAGGTGGGAGGATTGCTTGAACCCAGGTGGTTGAGGCTGCAGTGAGGTATGATGGTGCCACTGCATTCCAGCCTGGGTGACAGAGCAAGACCCTGTCTCAAAAAAAAAAAAAAAATTTCAACATAGAGTTACCATATGACCCAGCAATCCCACACCTACCCATATACCCAAGAGAATTGAACATATATGTCTGCACAAAGACTGGTACACAAATGTTTAGAGCAGCATTATTTATAATAGCCCCAAAGTGGAAATAACTCAAAGGTCTATCACTGATAAATGGATAAATAAAATGCAGTCTGTCCATGTAATGGAATATTATTTGGCAATAAGAAGCAATGAAGTGCTGATACCTGCTGTAACATGGGTGAACCCTGAAAACATGCTGAGTGAAAGAGACCAGTCGCACAAGACCACACATTGTATGATTCCATTTATATGAAATGTCCAGAAGAGACCAATCCAAAGGGAGAGAAAGTAATTTGTGGTTGCCTCGGGCTGGGAACGGAGCAATGTTGGTGAGTGACTGCTCAGGGGAGCAGGGTTTCTTCTTGGGGTTAAGAGAATGTTCTGGAATTAGAAGGTGATGGTGGTTGTGCAACTTTGTGAATCAATTAAAAACCAGTGAATTGCATGGCTTAAAGTGGTGAATTTTATGGTATGTGAATTATATCTGAAAAAAGTCAATGAATGCTTAATGCAGAAAATAAGAAAAGAAGGAAACAGAAATTGCAGTTGCAGCATCTGGAGATAATCACTGCAAATGTTTTGATGTAGATTTCCAGACTCTTATGTAAATCTATACATCTTTGGAAAATAAAGTGGGATCATGTAGCCCATATACTTTAGCAAAAATTTTGTTTTTATATTACTAGTACTTTTCCTTTGCATTAAGAAATAGCCTCTGTAAGTATCAGTGGATTTCTCCTTTATGTCTTGCCTTTCCACATATCTCTGCCAAGCCATGCTCCTCTTCCCTACTCTTTTCTTCAGGAGAACTTACCTAATTCATCTGCTCCACCTCCCCTTGGCACCTCTACCTCCCCTTGGCGCCTCTGTCTCCCCTGAGCACCTGCCAGAGCTGTTAGAGGAACCAAGGGGAACTGAGGCCTCCTGGAGCATCATGTTTGTGGGACTCAAGGTGGTTCTAGAGGGCAGAGTGAGGGTCAAGGCCAGCGGAGTTAGGTGGGCACGTACACTCCAGAGCATGCGTACAAGGGGAGGGGAGAGAGCGAGGTCCAAGGAACACACAACTGGGCCCAAGAAGGAGCTGGGGAAGGGCGCTGACAGGCAGATTATGTGGCCTGAGGGAGCGAGAGGTTCCGGTGTCGGGTCCTGGCTCTGCCTCTTCCTTGCCCTTGCTGGGCCTCAATCCCAACAGCAAAGAGGGGACCGAGTGTTGAACTTTTCCCAACAGCAACACTAACTGTCTGCACTCCCAGGCTTGACCCACCTCCAGAGGTTCACCCGGGGGATTGGCCCTTCCAGATGCTTCTGTCATGCCACTTAGATGTCTCCATCAGAAAGTAAGGGACAGTGATGCTATCACAGGGAAAACGGAATTTGCTCTAATTCGCTGAGGGAGAGTTCCCACCTAATTATTACTACTTCCAAGTCACTCATATCCCAATCAGGGCTCTGAGGTTGGGGCCTTGCCCTATCTTCCACATCTCCTAGGGCTGTAGTTCCCAAACTTGAGTGTGCTCCAGGATCACCTGGAGGGCATCATGAAACACACCAGTCCCACTCCCAGAGCCTCTGAGCTGTTGGTCTGAGCTGGGGCTAGAGATATTGCATTTCTATTACATTTCCAGGTGATGCCGATGTTGTTGGTCTAGGGAATCCCCTTTCCAGGAGCACTGTTCAACAGCCTCACCTCTTTCCTGCTCCCCCAGCCACCTGCAGCAAACGTCTCCCCACTAAAGTGAGGGTTCCCAGTGATTTTGGTGGCTTTCACCATTCTGGGGATAGTTTGCCTGCCATCTCAGTCTCCCCTAATTCTTTTGGTGGATGGATGGATGATGGAGAGGGCAGGGGGTCAGGGGGTGGGGAATGAAGGAAAAAAAGGCACCAGAGCTTTATTAATAAATGCTAGATTGAGAGGCTGAGGCGGGAGGATCACTTGAGGTCAGGAGTTTGAGAACAGCCTGGCCAATGTGGTGAAACCCCGTCTCTACTAAAAATACAAAAATTAGCCAGACGTGGTGGCATGTGCCTGTAATTCCAGCTACTCGGGAGGCTGAGGCAGGAGAATCTCTTGAACTGGGGAGGCAGAAGTTGCAGTGAGCCAAGATCGCACCACTGCACTTCAGCCTGGGTGATAGAGCAATACTCTGTCTCAAAAAAAAAAAAAAAATATATATATATATGATATAGCCAGTACTTATTTTCATACTGGTCATTCTGATCAAAAGCTCCCTCTTGGAATCAGTCTGCTAGGTTCCCTTGGAAATTTTTTTTTCTTTTTGAGACAGAGTCTCGCTCTGTCGCCAGGCTGGAGGGCAGTGGATTGATCTCAGCTCACTGCAACCTCCACCTCCTGGGTTCAAGCGATTCTCCTGCCTCAGCCTCCCGAGTAGCTGGGATTACAGGCGCCCAACACCACGTCCGGCTAATTTTTGTATTTTTAGTAGAGATGGGGTTTCACCATGTTGGCCAGGATGGTCTCAATCTCTTGACCTCGTGATCTGCCCACCTTGG
Organism: Homo sapiens; assembly: GCF_000001405.40. Classification (NCBI taxonomy): domain Eukaryota; kingdom Metazoa; phylum Chordata; class Mammalia; order Primates; family Hominidae; genus Homo; species Homo sapiens. The sequence continues at coordinate 13,432,595 of NC_000010.11, forward strand.
CCTCCCGAAGTGCTGAGATTATAGGTGTGAGCCACTGCCCTCGGCCCGGAAACATTTTAATAGAGAACCAGCTGTCAGGTTGAAGACACTACTTCCCAGCCTCTTTCTGGCAGTGTGTTAGTTAGGGACATTTCCAAAGAGATGATTCAAATAGCACACTTTAAACAAGGCCTGACACAGAACCAGTAGGCAACACATTTCTCTGGAAGTACATCCCACAGCATAGAGATCAGCTGTACAGGCTCTAGATCAGAAGGTCTGGGGTTGGATCCTGGCTCTGCTACTTGTTAACTATGTGACTTTGGGCAAGTTACTTAAGCTCTGTGTAACTCAGTCTTCTCACCTGTGAAGTGGGGATGGGTATAATAGTACTTCCAGGCTTATAATGGATAACGGAATCGTTATCTGTAAAATACTTATGACAATGCCTAGCTCATAAGAAGCATTTAATCAACATGTGTTATCATTCCTAGTGCAATGCTTTCATGCAAATAGAAGTATAAAGATCACTGTAAAGGCAAATCACATGGGCTGGGCCCCCACTGGGGTTATTCTGGATACTTCTCTCCACTAATAAGGCTACTTGACGGGCAAAACAGATGCTAAGAATGTGAGTTGGAGTCATATTCCCTAGGTTCAATCCTGGCTAAAAAAACTCCTTCTTAGTTATGTGAGCTAGAAGAAGGTGCCTAATTTCTTTCATCTGTTAAGTGGGGACAGGAGTGGTATCTACTTTACAGGATGGTGTGATGGTTAATACTGAATGTCAACTTGATTGGATTGAAGGATGCAAAGTATTGATCCTGAATGTGTCTGTGAGAGGGTTACCAAAGGAGATTAACATTTGAGTCCATGGGCTGGGAAAGGCAGACCCACCCTTAATCTGGGTGGGCACCATCTAATCAGCTGCCAGTGAGGCCAGGATATAAAGCAGGCAGAAAAATGTGAAAAGGCTAGACTGTCCTAGCCTCCCAGCCTACATCTTTCTCCCATGCTGGATGCTTCCTGCCCTTGAACATCAGACTCCAGGTTCTTCAGTTTTGGGACTCAAACGGGCTCTCCTTGCTCCTCAGCCTGCAGATGGCCTATTTTGGGACCTTGTGATCATGCAAATTTATACTTAATAAACTCCCCTTTATATATATATATATATATATATATATATATATATATATATACACACACACACACACACACACACATATACACACACATATATATACATATATATATACGCACACATATATATACGTTTATATATATATATGTATAGTGTATATATATATATCCTATTAGTTCTGTCCCTCTAGAGAACCCTAATACAGATGGTTTCAAGGATGACCTGAGTTAAACTGCAGGAATGAAGCTTAAGAACAGTGCCCAGTGGCTGGGCGTGGTGGCTCACACCTGTAATCCCGGCACTTTGGGAGGCTGAAGTGGGCGGATCATCTGAGGTGGGGAGTTTGAGACCAGTCTGACCAACATGGAGAAAACCCATCTCTACTAAAAATACAAAATTAGCCAGGCATGGTGGTGCATGCCTGTAATCCCAGCTACTCAGGAGGCTGAAGCAGGAGAATCGCTTGAACCCGGGGGCGGAGGTTGCGGTGAGCCAAGATCGCGCCATTGCACTCCAGCCTGGGCAACAAGAGCAAAACTCAAAAAAAGGAGCAGTGTCCAACTTGCAATGCAAGTCTGATATGTGTTTGACAGTATTCAGAGGGAGTTGACACTATACATGGCTTGAGAGTTGCAAATCTGTTTCTCCAAAGCACATCACCTGCCAGGTCTGTGTAAAACTGCATAGATCAGGAAGAAGCATACGAGAGCACCATCGTGGCCTGAACTCGTTAGGTTCTTGGACTTGTTTACAGCAACCCATCCCACATTTTATTTTTCTTAGTCTTTCTCTCCAAATTCCAAAGGTCTTGGCTGTATTGTTTTTTGAACTGATGTGTCAAATGCACTCACACCTCAGATGGGTTTCTTCTCGGCTTGCAACTAATGCATTTTTTATAAAGCTCTGTCTCCAGTTTCCTTTCAAACTGCAGAGAGGATATCCTTTTGCTCTTAAGCTTCAGAGTGATTTTTTTTCCTTCAAAGTAAAGCATTAACCTCCAGAGTTCTGTAAATGGGTTTGATGTACATATTATGGGAGTAACAAGGAGCTGGATGCTGAAGTTTTCATTGGAGTTTATGTGATACACGAGAAGCCTGTTATATTTCAAGATATTTCAGGTTTTCCTAACAGTATCCAAGCAGTAAGCATTACATATATACTGATACATATGCCACTGAGTTTTTTCCTTTACCTTTCTTTTTTTTTTTTTTTAGTAAATGATACGTGTTCATTTTAGAATACTTAAAACATATAATTTTTAAAAATCACCTGCAATTCTACCAGCCAGAGGTAACCACTGTTAACAACTTCCTTCTTTTTTCTGTACATGCTTATAAATACTGCTCTTAAAAATGTGATCAGGCAGCTGGGCGCAGCGGCTCACGCCTGTAATCCCAGCACTTTGGGAGGCCGAGGCGGGCAGATCACGAGGTCAGGAGTTTGAGACCAGCCTGACTAATATGGTGAAACCCCATCTCTACTAAAAATACAAAAATCAGCCAGTTGTGGTGGCACATGCCTGTCATCCCAGCTACTCAGGAGGCTGAGGCAGGAGAATCGCTTGAACCCGGGAGGCGGAGGTTACAGTGAGCTGAGATCGTGCCACTGCACTCCAGCCTGGGCAACAAAGCAAGACTCTGTCTCAAAAAAAAAAAAAAAAAAAAAAAGGAAAAAAAGGGATCAGGCGCTGGTTAATTAACACATTGTCTATACCTTTTTAAAGCTGTAGGCAGCTATTGGTACATAGTTTTTGGATGCTGCAATTAGTCTGTAGTTACAATCACAACTAACTATAAAAATAAGTGTTTTTGAAATTAAAAAAATACAAGCAGGCAGAACATATTATGTAACAGTAAGTGTATCATGAACATTCCTCTATGCCATTCAATATTCTTCTATACTAGTATATATTGAGAAAAAAAAAAACTTTCCCTTCTCAATGCAAAAGCAGCACATACTATTTAGAGATTTTTTTTTTTTTTTTTTTTTTTTTTTTGGAGACGGGCTCACTGTCAACCAGGCTGGAGTGCAGTGTTACAATCATAGCTCACTGCAGTCTCAACCTCCTGGGCTCAAGGGATCCTTCTGTCTCAGTTTCCCAAGTTGCTGGGACTATGGGCTCACACCACCGCCCAGCAATTTTTTTTTTAAAGAAACGGGGTCTTGGCCGGGCGCAGTGGCTCATGCCTGTAATCCCAGCACTGTGGGAGGCCAAGGCAGGCGGATCACCTGAGGTCAACAGTTCGAGACCAGCCTGGCCAACATGGTGAAACCCTGTTTCTACTAAAAATACAAAAACTAGCCAGGTGTGGTGGCGCATGCCTGTAATCCCAGTTACTTGGGAGGCTGAGGCAGAAGAATTGCTTGAACCTGGGAGGCAGAGGTTGCAGTGAGCTGAGATCATGCCACTGCACTCCAGGTTGGGTGACAGAGCGAGACTCTGTCTTAAAAAAAAAAAAAAAAGAAATGGTTATCTCGCTATGCTGTTCAGGCTGGTCTTGAACTCCTGGCCTCAAGCAGTCCTCCTACTTTGGCCTCTCAAGGCACTGGGATTAGAGGATTGAGCCACTGCACTCAACCACTCTCTCACATTTTTTAAAGCATTTTTTTGGAGGGGCTTTTCTCCTGCTGATATGGTTTGGCTCTGTGTCCCCACTCAAATCTCATTTTGAATTGTAATTCCCACGTGTCAAGGGAGGGACCTGATGGGAGGTGGTTGGATCATGGGGTGGTTTCCTCAAACTGTTCTCGTGATAGTGAGAGAGTTCTCACGAGATCTGATGGTTTTCTGTTTGGCAGCTCCTCCTTCGTTTTCTGTTTCCTGCCCCCTTGTGAAGAAGGTGCTTGCTTCTCCTTCACCTTTTGCCATGACTGTACGTTTCCTGAGGCCTCCCCAGCCACGTGGAACTGTGAGTAAATGAAACCGCTTTCCTTTATAAATTACCCAGTCTCGGGTATTTCTTTATAGCAGTGTGAAAATGGATGAACACACCTGCATTCAGTCTTTCCAATGGCTTCGACTAATTTCGCCAGCTTCCGCCACCTCCTCATCCCTACCCCTGAAGTCACTGGATGCTTTCCAATCAAAAGTTGTCTCTTGGTCTTTGAGAGTGTTCACTTTTTTTTTTCTTTTCTTTTTTTGAGACGGAGTCTCACTCTGTCGCCCAGGCTGGAGTGCAGTGGCGCCATCTCAGCTCACCGCAACCTCTGCTGCTCAGGTTCAAGCAATTGTCCTGCCTCAGCCTCCTGAGTAGCTGGGATTACAGGCACCTGCCACTGTGCCTGGCTAATTTTTTTTAGTTTTAGTAGAGACGGGGTATCACCATCTTGGCCAGGCTGTTCTTGAACTCCTGATCTTGTGATCCTCCCTCCGCCTCAGTCCCCCAAAGTGCTGGGATTACAGGTGTGAGCCACCATGCCCGGCCAGAGAGTGTTTACTTTCTAAAGCTGTATGCTATCATAACGACAGGGTCATGGTGCACGCAGGCTCCTGGCTAGAAATCAGTGTCCAGCCAGTGTCCGGGAGTCAGTCGAACATTTAAAATAAGTCCACTGTGCCATGACTAGTGAACCGATCCCACTGGGGCAAGGCACGGGAGGAACGGGCTGTGGTTAAGGTTGCCAGGCAACATTAATGGGGGCAGGTAGGAAGGACAAACGCACTGGAACATCGCATGGTATGATGATAAAAACAAACACGGAATCTGAACAAGAGTCAAAGCTGCCTGTGGCTATCGGTCCATGTTCTAGGAAGCATCAGGGAGAGGCAGGAGGGGGAGAAAGTGGTATAGCTCACACTAGTGAAATATTTCCCAGAAGGACAGAGCACCGTTACCGTGTGCATCACCGGAGGGGGACGGGGTTAGCCTGGGTTTTGTTAATTGAGTCACTTCTGATGTTCTCTGTCTAGTGGTTAGAAATACATCATTTTTGGAGGGTACTTAATTTGATAATACACAGAGTAAGTGTCCTCTATTTTAATGTATTCTCTTTCTCCCTCCATTGCTAGAGTATAGCAGAAAATAGTTTTTCTAACTGAACCTGCAACTGGGCCACCACTTCAGTGAAACAACTTAGGATGCTTAATTTCCTGTGTAAAGTCATTTTTCACTCCAGTTCACGGGGAGGGCGCTCCATGTTTTGAATGTCTTGGCACCGTGTTGGAGGATACACACAAATGCAAGGCTAGACGGCTGGTTTCCGACTACTCCTCCTTTGATTGCGCTTGTATCAGCTTCGCTTTTGGAAAGCATTTGAAAGAAATCATAAAGTAGCTTAGTTTCAAAGTTTAGGTTTAAAATGCCTTTCCATGTTTCAGTGAACAGTCCAAAATGGCCAAAAATAAAACAATTAAAAAGGCCTTTAACTATCAGGTCTATTTGGAATATCAGTGTGTGTAAAGCATGTGGGGCACTACCCACTCCAAGCTCCATTTCTAGAACGTTCTTTTTTTTTTTTTTTTTTTTTTTGAGACGGAGTCTCGCTCTGTTGTCCAGGCTGGAGTGCAGTGGTGTGATTTTGGCTCGCTGCAACCTCCGCCTCCCGGGTTCAAGCGATTCTCCTGCCTCGGCTTCTTGAGTAGCTGGGATTACAGGCACCCACCACCAGGATGGCTAATTTTGTATTTTTAGTAGAGACGGGGTTTCACCATGTTGGTCAGGCTAGTCTCGAACTCCTGACCTCGTGATCCGCCCACCTCAGCCTCCCAAATTACAGGTGTGAGCCGCAGCGCCCGGCCAGAACATTCTTTTTTTTTAAAACTGTGATTCATTTAAACATTCTTTTTAATTTCACCAATAACAAAATAGAAATAAATATTTATATACACACATATCTGTATATATTACTTTCGGGGGGATAATCAATTTCACGCATTTGAGGTTACAAAACATAATAGGAGTTGATCTGTGTAAATTCAAGTTGCTTTGAATCGCTAGCGTTTATTAAATTCTCATGGAGTACAACCTGCATCTCTTTGGTCGATCTATTGACACAATTTCTCCAATTATAGAAGAGCACTGAGGGGGCGGTATTAGGGGAAAAGGCAAGTCCACGTGATCTAAGACAATGGGATACAGCGGAAAGGAGAGCGCTGTAAAAGGCTCCTGATCCATCCATCCCATGATAAGGCCACTGTCCAACCAGCCTGACCCTCCTCTCAATCTTGGGTTCTGTGATAAAGGCTCTGGGTTTGGGCTGATGGGAGAAGGGGAGTCACTTCTGGTAACTGGCAGCACTGGGAGGCCAGGACTCACTGTCGTCAGAATGACTCGGTTGCATATTCATGGAAACCTCAGGTCCAACTTTAATCAGTCCACTCTTGCTGGGCAAAGGGGAGAGAGGGCATCCTGAACATGTTTTCACCAGGGCCTGAAATCTTAACAGCCTGACATCACAAGGCTCAGATTCCAGTGGAAAGATGGGTGATACACACACACATAAATAAGCAAGATAATTTCAGAGAGAGAGGCAAGAGATGTGAAGGGTAAGAGACTTGGCTGAGCCTGGCGTGGGAAAGTTGCGAATCCCTCTCTGATGATGAAGTGTAGCTGAGACCTGAGTTATGAGGAATGAATGGTGCTTGAAGTCTTGGCTGGTTTGGGACAAAGCTCCTGTTTCAGCTCTGTCTCTGGTAAGGTTGTTCAGGAGCACGAGATGCTGCTCCTCCCAGGGTTCTGCCATCTGTCCCTTTTCTTGTGACATTGTCTGAGGTGAGCTCTGCAAGACTAGGGTCACCGCTGCACTCCCACCCGGCAGAACAGTGCAGGGCCCACCACAAGCACCTGTGGAATGAATGAATGAGTGAATGAATGAATGAATGGAGTAACTCACCTGTCTCCTCCAAATCGTCACACCCTGTGTCCTTATCTTAGTGAGTGCAAGTGACACCCCTCCTGGTTCGTCAGCCAGAAACTTGGTGTCAGCTTTGACACATTCTCCCTCCTCCAGCCTGAGCTGATTCTTTCTCAGGCGTGGCTTTGTGGGTTTTGAGCCCCTTCCAACAGCCTCTTCTTGGGATCCCTTGTCTTCAGCCCGCCCCCTCCTGCGAATGCTCCCTGCTTCAGCCAGGCGGATCGACCTAAGATAGGACTCCGATCAACACCTTTCCCTTCAGATGCTCCGCGGCTGCCCGCGCCGTCCCAGCCCCTCGGCATGGCGCAAGGCTAGCACAGTTTAGTGCCAGGACTTGGCCCCGCCTCCCCTCTCGCCCGTCTTTTCTCTTTTATCCCGAAACCAGTCGCCCTAAACACCCACAGTGTCTGCCCAGTTGGTGTTCAGTAAAATGGTGCAGCTGAACTCGGGTGCTGCTGGGAAATGAGCCAGCTGTGTCCCCAGATCCTTGGGGAGGGGGGTTTGGCGGCTGGAGGATAGGAGAGGTGACGACTGAGGCAGGTGTGCAAGCGTCTTCCAGGGGAGCCTCCTGTGGCGAAATGGGGTCCCCTGGCCATTGGGTTAGAGAGGTCTTCGAGCTGTTCTGCCAGGATACCTCAAAGCACCCATCCCTGCCAGCCCTGTGGGATCAAGGGCATCCCAGAGGCCTTGGGCCAAAAGATATGACGTGGGTCCCTGACACAAGGGACCCCAGGAAGCTGGGGGCATCAGGGCAGAGGCGAGGACTGGAGCCTGACTCCAGCTTCAGAGCAGCGCGGACACCTGCAAGACTCACGGGCTGGAGCCCACATCTGTTTTTGCAACAGCTCGCCCTGTGGCTCCCTGCCCAGGTGCGGGTGCCTTCCCAGGCAGCAGCTCCTGCCCCTACCCGCCCGCCTCTCCTCACAGCTGTCCCAGGCCCCTGTAAAACCAGGGGCCCAGAGTCAGACCCTGAATTGAACCTCCGAAGAAGCTGGATTCCAGCCCGCTGGTGCGGCCCGCTCAGAGCAGGGGACAGAGCACGCCCGCGGGAGGCGGCGGGGGGCAGGTGCCCGGCGAGGAGTGGCGCCCTCCTGTGTTCAAAGAGGGGAAGCGAGCGATTCTGCGGCTGCAGCCGCTCAGCATCGGAGAAGATTGATTTGTCCGTCTGATGTGTTGTTTCCATAGAAGCAGGGCTTAACCTTTTAAGTGAAGATTATAAAGCTACCTAATTCATTTAAAATTAGGCTTCAAGCATCTCTGTACTTAACGCTCAAGTGTTTCTGTGGGACTTGCTGTAGCCATTGATCTAACAGCCAGACACAGCCTTTCCAGCGTCTGAAGCCTTTCACTCTGGCAGCAATCTAGGTGGTCTCTTTATTTTTAAAAATTAACTTCATCAGGAGATATAACTTCTGTGGGAGATCATCAGAGTATTAATGATACCTTTTAATTAATGAACAGCACTGACTTCTCTTCATAAACACAGGAAGACCGGCACACAGGCAAGATCCGCACGCACGTTCAATTAAAGTAATTTATTGTATTCTTCCAGATCAGACATAAAGAGCATCTTGGGAATTGATACCACAACACAATGTTATACACCATTTTCACAACCAGGCTTGCATTGAATTCTTTTTTAAAGAACATAGTAATTTTAAAAAATCTAAATATTTACATATTAATAAAACATATATACAGAAGATTGAGACATTATCCATAGATATGGATTTTTTTTTTGCTAAGAAAGCCTATAAAAAGGTTTCTGAATAAAGACTGAACAGTAGTCACAGTAAGTAAACACAATTTTAATTTACAAAATATGATTTTGCTGTTGCAGTTTTGATACGTATTTCCAGTGTGTAGATCCGTTCATCGCACACATCTTTGGGTTGAACAAGCTCCACCCGTCCTCAAGTGCTGAACACCCCAAGCTGTGGCCCCGCCTTGGAAGGCAGTGCTTCTGAAGGTTCCCAGCAGATCTCTTAACAGACCACAGTTGGAAGTTAGCGTTTCTGCCTTGACCAGCAACATACTCATCCTATTTTAACACGGCGAAAGGTCACCAATTAATCTTCTCCCTTCCCTTGGGTAGTAGCTCCTTGTGGGAGGCAGAGGACGGATTTTAAAACCCATGGTGCAAAAAACACAAGAGCTGTGGTTTGCAGTCCTTCATCAGACCACTTGAGAAAACAAAGGGACTGTTGTCAGGAACGGGATTACTTACTGGCCAGAAATGGAAAAAGGCTAACAAAAAGGTATGATGGAAATAATTTCTCCAAACCTTCCTTGTAGCCCCCCAAAAGAAGAAAAAGAAGCCACACATATATGAGATGTAACTTGTCTAGTAGTTAGATTGATTCTACAAGCCACGCCTAAAGCCAGCTTTTTGTTACAGTACAGGGATGCCTTCTCTCATCTTTGATGACTGGCTGGTCTTTGGTGGAACAGGGATTTATCCCAGAGGGCCTCTCCTATCTCTAGGTTTAGCGTTTCAGTGTGATGTGACATGAATACCTTGGACAGGGTAGTCAGGAAATTCGGGTTCTAGGCAGGGCCCCAGCCACGGAGGGGTTAACGGGCTCTGGGCAACCGCTTACCCTCATTCATCCTCAGTTTCCCGGGTGGGACTGAGTAGCCTCTACAATAACTTTTAGCTCTTAACATTCTGTGCTTTGCCAAATCCAGGGCTAGGGGAAGGCACTGGAACTGCTAGTGGACAGGTGTGAACCCCGGGTTTGGTGATGTGTAGTCCAAATTGTTCTCATGCCAATTTTTGGCCTTTGGGTCAAGTGGCGAAGATTCAATGCAATTTGCTTTATACAATAAATGAAGTGTAAATGCAGTGTTTCTAAATAACACAGTGTTTTAAATTCACCATCTTATTAGAGAAAGAAATCTGGAGGTAAATATTTCTATAAAACAAATACCTTCATGGCAAGATATCTTTTTAAAATAAATCCAGATTTTCATAAATTAGTTTTATATAAAGTGGAGGGCAAGTATACTAGGAACCAAATAAATGACATAATATTAAGTACATTTTTAGCTAGTTACCACATGGTGCCAAAACCCTGTAGCACTCCGTTAAGACCATCTGTTAAAATGGCTGTCAGGTATCATGTAGATAATTTACTGGTTTTCTCACCTTTTAATTAGTTATTTTGTCATTGTGTTGACGCAACTTAGGTGAAAGGTTTTTCTTTCCTAAGAACTCATAGGTCATTTGCACTTACTCAGTTACAAATGGCTATTTGGGGGGCACTGACGTCATGAATGATTTCATCTTACAGGTCAGAGCTATCCTATCTCCCAAAACAACTTTTTCATCTTCTAAGATGATGAAGGTCTAATTAATCTTGGCCTTCACAACTGCTCTCTCAGCACTGGAAAGAGCCATTCTCCTTTATACTGCATCTAAGCAATTTACATTAAAATAAATACGTTTCAAAGCTCTATATTCATACTGAGGTTTTGAATGAAAACAGGGAAGAGAGAACCACTTCTTTATAATGGACAATGAACTCACTGAATCATATGCTGGACTTTTAAAGGGTAACAAATCAACCCTAAAAATGATTTAAAAAATCTTATACCAGATTGGAGGCTTGGTTATCACACATTACAAAGAAAGTATATGAAACTATTCAAACATGACAGGTAAGCTTGACAGAACACCCACACTTTGCAGGAACCTGAAATGCTACGTGGATCTTTGTGGAAATTCAAACGGAAGTTACATATGCCACTCAACAATGTCACTAAAATCAAAGTCTAGGCAATGAAACCTGGTTCTGTGTCCTCCGTGTTTTCTCTCCTGGTGTCAAATATATTACCTACAACAGAGACAAGAAAATGAAGGCGGAGAGCCGCTTCTCTAAGGAAGAGTTGTACATGGTTCTGTGACATGGCTGGAGGTGGGCGTTCTGGACAAGTAAACAATTTACTGGGGAGGTGTCTGTGTTTCACACTTAAGTCGCTAAGTTTTTAGCCAAGGCTTTAGTTGTCCTCCATGAGCAATTGTAGAAATTGGAAATTTGTAATGATTTTTTATGAGAAAGGCCACGAATGTGTGTTACTATTAGAGTATATCCACATATTGTCCAGTCATGGAAAATGGCCTAAAAGATAATTTACCTGCAAAACAGAATATTATGCAGCTATTAAAATAATGCATATGAAGATTTGCCATAGAGTGGAAAAATGCTTGTTAGGTAAAAATCAAAAAAACATGTAGGAAACAAAATTTTACATATTTGATCTCCACTGTATAAATAAATAAAATGGAGAAACATTTGAGAAAAATCATCCAATAATGGTTGTCTGTGGGTGGTAAAAGCAATTGAAATGTTCTTCCTTACACTTTTATTAATTTTTTAAAAGTATGTAAAATGCCAATTTATGACAATTGCTAAGTCTAGATGAACATCCCCATTTCAAATTTGGAAGCCCCATTTTAAATTTTAGAAAGCACTGTTTTGATTTCACTTTCTCTATACTTTTTTTTTTAATGCAAATTGTCCCCAGCTCCTGGGTGGCTTTTCTTGAGCCCCAGACCCTCTCCACACATCTGTGCTATAGCATTTATGTAATTCCTTCTGCCTCTCACACTAGTCTGAGGGCATTTGTACACCAGCACCCAACACGGGGCTGATTCTTGGTAGTTGCTCAAAAAGGCTTAGTGAATAGGGTTAAGGGAAACTAAAATAGATGCACTACAGAAGGTGAATCCATTTCTGCTAAAGCCTGATGAACAGAAGGTTGCTTAAATGTAATGCATCCAAACAAATGTCATTTGACCTGCCTGTAACCCTACCCTAGTCACTTCTGGTTCATAGAAACACTTAAGCATTTACATCCCTTTCCCTGCCCTTCCCCCAAATACACAACTTTGGAAGGAGGAAAAAAGACCTTAAAAAAGTAATAAAAGCATTGTTGAATCTTTAAAAAGAACTAACTGTTGCTAGCTCAGATAAATGGGATAATGAGAGTCTGTATCAGAGCCCTTGGTCGATCCTGTGGTTCTGACCAGTGAGGCTCAAGCTCAAGGATGAAACCACATGTGCGAGAAAGGTGGAGTCCTTAAAGGGCACATGTGAGGAGGGGTGTTAGGAGCAGCACTGCATTCAAAGAAGCCAACCAGAATGGGGATTTTACTTTGGAGGCAATCAAGAGACATGCTATCCAGGTGAATATCAAGATTACTTAATATTATTACTGCAAAATTTGAGCATCAATCTGAGACTTCTTTTCCTTCTTTTTTTTGAGACGGAGTCTCGCTCTGTCACCCAAGCTGGAGTGTAGTGGCGCGATCTCGGCTCACTGCAAGCTCCGCCTCCCAGGTTCACGCCATTCTCCTGCCTCAGCCTCCTGAGTAGCTGGGACTACAGGCGCCCGCCACCATGCCTGGCTAATTTTTTATATATTTTTTAGTAGAGACGGGGGTTTCACCGTGTTAGCCAGGATGGTCTCGATCTCCTGACCTTGTGATCCGCCCGCCTCGGCCTCCCAAAGTGCTGGGATTACAGGTGTGAGCCACCGCGCCCGGCCTCTTTTCCTCTTTTCTAAATGATAAACGTTTTTATTTATCATGCTGCTTAGTGATTTGTATCAAATATCTATCAATAGTTTAATGAAAAGATCTGCAAGTGTGTTATACTATTTTCTTCATTATGACCTCACAGCCTTGGGTAAAGTTTGAGAAAAGACTGGAAGAAACGAGTTTCAGCTGCAGTGAACCGGGCCGACTGACGACGAACATTTTAATTGTGAAGACTGAGACAGTGAAGAGGACTCCTAAAGGGATTAGCACATCCATCATCTCTTAGGATCTTTAAGAAACATGCAGAGAAAAGCTGGCTTTGGCTTAGGTATGAGAAAGCTATATGGTATCATGGCTGGGAGTCGAGGGACCTGGGTTCCGGCCAGGCCGTCAACCAGCTGTGAGGCCGTGGGAAAGCCACTTAATGTTTCTGGGCCTCAGGCTTTTTTTCCTGTAAAATAAAAGGACTGGATAAAAAGAAGGGATTGGACTAGAGGATCTCTCAAGTTCCTTCTCATTCTCAGATTCCTTGACATTTTTTTCAGTTCCATGAGGCTCTTCTAGCACCCTCTGACCTCAGTTTTCTCACTGGAAACGTATCTCCAACTTCAGATAGGAAAATACAAAGGCATTCCGTACTCACCACTTGGGGGTGAATATAAACTTCAAGGGGAGTGGCTTTCAAATAATAAAAGCTCACTGTGTCACATGACACAGGAGGACAGGCAGTGCAGATGGCCAGGGTGGGAGGGCACTTGGGAAGCACAGCTAGAAAGGCATGGTGCTCCCCTGAAGGGCCTTCTGAAGGCTAGGTCTATTACGATTAGGATTTCATGGATCGGCTGGGATTGGGCCCAGGTGATAAGAATGAGGCTGATATGCGTGCCCTGATATTCAGAGAATGACAAATTGGGAAGGAACAACAGAGATCACGTATTTCAATTCTCTTAATTCACAAATGTGAAAACACAGCCAAAGAAGAACAGAAATCTCTTTTATATAATGACTCTGTATGGGAAGAACTTGATGTAGGCAGGTCTTTTTGCACTATGTAGCTCATTTGATTTATCTGTCCATTGATCTGTTGCTTAGCTACTCAGTGGCAGAGAAAGCAATGTGTCTCTTACACGGCTGAATTTTCCTGTTGCTCTGAAGCTCTGAAGTTCACTAGCACAGGCCCATCCTATGCCTGCGAATGTGGCTTTCCTTGCCATTTTGGGATATGTGCTGTCAATGAATACATGGCCTAGTCAAGTTCCTACACAACCTAGAGACTCCACTAATATTTGCTGAATTTAATCAACACAGACCACCCCAAAACTAGAGGAAAAAACATTCGGTTGAACCTTTTCAGTAAGAGGGTTTTTGGGGGTACCTGGGTTTTGTGGGCAGAGAATCTTCAGATATCCTTTGGAGGGAAGTCAGTAGAGTCCTGTGACCAATGGAGGGGATACATTGTTTTCCACAAGGCTCATTGATCAGACACCTGCCCCTCTGGCTCTCAGATATGAACCCATACACAGGTAGGAAGCCAGGGTCAGAAGCATTACTTGAGAGTCAAATAACATGAAGTTGGAATTATGTCTATGGCTTAACACAACAGCGTGCAGCAAATGCTTCCATGGAAGGGTATCTTCAGCTGATCTGGTCCTGGTATTAGGAATGTGCCACTCACGCCGGATGGCTGGCCTTGTTCAAATCGCTCAGTTAAAACATAGTATTCACTGGGTGTCCACTGATTGACTGCTCAAGGCTCCAAGGCCGTTTGGAGGAGGTGGGAGAGGACAGCCTAGCCATGAATTTGATCACACAAAATTAGTGGTCCCCGTTTTAAGGTGAAATCTCATTTCACGTTAAAAATATTTTGTAATGTCCAAAGGTTTGGGGAGGCAAAATGTTATGATACTTAGTTCTTAGGATTTGCTCTTCTGAGATTTTTATGAAAATAAGAGTGTGAGAAAAACGTTTTTCTATTCAGTATGAAAAACATCTCTGAGTACGGGGCCTTGAGAAGCTCCAATGACGGGGCCTGGTCCACTGCAGAAGCAGTTTGCTCAAGTGTCTGCATGTCTAATGTTAAAATCGTTTTCAATGCAAATAGTTTTGTGGGCTGTATTTTCCAGGAGGTGATGAAAATGTAAATGCGTTTTATTTACCTGTTGGTGGTAGAGCAATGCCGTCCAGTCTTTCATCACTGTCCGCGATCTCTGCTGGTTACAAACATAAGACACAAATCTCATTAGTTCCAGGGAGCACATTCATTTTACAGAAAATAGTGATGTAATTTTAAAAACTCCAGTATACATAACTGTTTTCACCATTCTTTTCTGTTTTCAGCTACCGTTGGTTCATATTACAGATGTTAATATCATTATTTGAATATTTTTTGATGATGGTGATATAAAATCAACTTTCCCGTATTAAAACTTTTTTTTTTTTTTTTTTTTTTTTTGAGACGGAGTCTCGCTCTGTCGCCCAGGCTGGAGTGCAGTGGCGCGATCTCGGCTCACTACAAGCTCCGCCTCCCGGGTTCACGCCATTCTCCTGCCTCAGCCTCCCGAGTAGCTGGGACTACAGGCGCCCGCCACCACGCCTGGCTAATTTTTTGTATTTTTAGTAGAGGCGGGGTTTCACTGTGTTAGCCAGGATGGTCTCGCTCTCCTGACCTCATGATATTAAAACTTTTTAAAATCTTATGAACCTCATTCTATTGATCACTGATGATTTCTGTTTATTTTCACTTATTTACATAGGCTTGAATATCGAACCAGCATGTGGGGTGAATTGTTTAAATAGGGTCATCGCGGGGATGTGTCAATGAATTCCTGCTGTAGAATTTGCACTTGGCATCGCCGGAACCACTCCTGGGGGGCAGCTTAGGAAATCTTGAGAATGAACCTTTCTTTGGAGATGGCTGATTCAGATCCTAGAACTGCCAATCTAACTCTGGCATTAACGTGGTCATGAAGAAGGAATAGGCGTTGCTTCAAAAGATTCTCCATTTCTAAGTTTTAAAATGCAAACCTTCGCTCGTGTCTGATAAATGTATCCATCTCCTTGGGAGTTTTCCAAAGGTAGATCCTTCAGTCACAAAAAACCTTCTGTTACATGCGAAAAAAAAGGTGCACGTGTGTCTCTTGACAAGGGATGGGCTTGTTAGTTTCCCGTAACATGTGGGGATGGGAAAACATCACATTATGGCCCCTGGGATAGTTTCGGTGGTGGCCTCCATGGCTCAGGGCCTGTGGTCCCCACAGGCAGGCCCCTGCTGACTGCATAATGTGCGTGGGCAGCCCTTGTGAGGCTGTTGAATGAGGTCAGCCTTGGCACCATGTTGTAACACTGAGTCAGAAGCAGCCTAAACTAGTGCTACGTACTTGTTTTTATTGTTGCTTTAAACATAATCAGGGCTTAGCTACGGCTAGAAATATTGTATGGCTCCCCTGTCTCCTTCATCCTCCAACATCTTGTCCTCAGATGGACGCTCACTGGCATTAATGAAAGACCCCTTGTCTGCTGACCTGCTAGATCCACCACAAAGAGAAATCACTGAGAAGGGATGAAATATGCAAGACCAACCTAGGTTGGATTAGATTAGCAACTGCTAAAAATGATGTTGTATTTGGGAGGCCGAGGCGGGTGGATCACGAGGTCAGGAGATCGAGACCATCCTGGCTAACACAGTAAAACCCCGTCTCTACTAAAAATACAGAAAATTAGCCAAGAGAGGTGGCAGGCGCCTGTAGTCCCAGCTACTCGGGAGGCTGAGGCAGGAGAATGGTGTGAACCCGGGAGGCGGAGCTTGGTGAGCCGAGATCGCGCCACTGCACTCCAGCCTGGGCGACAGAGCGAGACTCCATCTCAAAAAAAAAAAAAAAAAAAGATGTTGTAGATGAATATTTAACAACATAAAAATATTCAAACCATGGGATAAATGGTGTGATTAAGATTCTGGAAACAGGTTTATAGAAAAAATATGGCACATACTGAAATGTTAACTGTGTTTCCCTCTGGATGAAAGGCTTTAGGTATTTTAAATTTTGTTCTATGGCTTTTAGAAATTATTTTATATATGAAAAATAATGAACATATGTTATGTTTATATTTAGAAGACATTATTTTCTTCTAATTGGTTTGAGTGAGTTGGGGACAGATGGTCTTCATGGTAGTTCTCTCACTGCCTAGGATTTTAAAAATCCTTCAATAATAATAACAATGATAATCACCATGTATTAAATGCTCACGGGGCACTTGACATGCAGTGTGTCGCTGAACCCTTAGGACACTCTACAAGGTGGGTCTGTTGCTCTGCCCATCTTAACACATAAGGAAAGTGAGACAGAGGTTGGGAAACTCACTCCAGGTAACACAGCTAGTAAGTAACAATGCCAAGGACATGAGTCGCGTTAATGTCTGGGCTATTCGTCTCTTTGCTATTAATAGTCCAAACATACCATATGCATCGATATGAGCTAATTTCTTAAATCTTCGAGTTCTAGTTCATTTTATATTTTGGCAACTTTCTTTACATGTATAATTGCTTTTCATTTAGTTATAACAAGATCAGTTTTGGGTATAAACTGACCTTCCTTTTGTAATTCAGCTATCCTCCCTTTGAAAAAACAGGCCTATGCAATTATGTGCTTTAGTAAGAACAGAACATATATAACCAAAAAAATATATAGATGATTATATATAAATCAGAACACGCTAGCTGCATGAATAGGGGCTGAGAGTCAAGGAGGAAGGCACTGTTGTGTTACTCAAATTTAATTATAACATCTATCTGCAACAACAAGCTCACAGTCTTTCTTCCCCGGTGACAATCAAGTTGGTAAATTTGGAAAAGATTGAGCAAGTCCAATAAACATTTAACAGCAGTGACATCTTTACTCTGAGATCTAACACGATATATTGTGATTTCAGCTCTGAGAAAATCATCTGATGGCAATGATAAAAATGCACACCAGGAAAGGAATCACTGGAGCTATAGAATAAAAATTATTCCATGTGACGACAGCCCCAAATGAATTTCTATTTGGATTTGCATAACGGCCTTTCAAATCTGTGTGGGGCACTTCTTTTTTTCTAGAGGCAGTGCAGGCTTCCTTAAGTGGTAGCCAATTAGCTTGTGGAGTCAGAATCTCTACCTCATTCCAGGAATGGAGCCAGATATGACAAATAAGGTGGAAATTGTGCAATCTCTATGAGACACTGTTTGTATTATCATTTAGACTGAAAATCAGACAAAAAGCATGAGAGCAGGTAATATTATTGATCCAGACCTCTCGGTTCCTATCGGCATCATGGAAGGAAATACAAGTGGTTCTAGTTTCAATTTGCTGGGGCCCCACTTCTGTGCCCTAGAGGAGAATGATGTGGAACAGGATTTGACAAAATGGGGAGACAAACTGTATTTGGCAGGTCATTGCTGATGTGCTGTCATTTGGGTCTGCTTGTCAGGGTTGGTTTTGTCTTACAGCCACCTTCTACTTCTCAGTTGTTAATAGAACCTGCTAGGAACGCAGAAGAGAAGGGCCAAGGGAGCCGATCACAAGTATCTGGGCAGATCATCTAAACCAGTGGTCAAAAGTTACAATGTCCAACATCAAATATTCTGATGTCTAAGGGGCAGGAGCGGGCAAGTGAGTGGGGACTCCTCGAGGAGGGGAGGGGTGGGGAGCAGGCTGTGGCTTGGGTCTCATCCTGTAGAAGTGGGCAAACCTGGGGGGAAATGGGCATTTGTGATGGGAATTATTAATAGAAATGAGACATGGTTAGGGGATGTGTTCCCTGGCCAGTCTGCTTGGGGGAAAGAGAAGAGGGATGTGGCGGCACATCCCTACTGCATGCGTGCCTGCTTGCTGGTGGGACAGGGGAAGGGAATAGAGACCAGAACTTATAATAATCGGTCTCAGCATCTGACAATAGAAGGAAACTAAGGTGTGTTTATGTCTAAAATGTGCAGCATGGGGAAGGCAGCAGAACATTTACACTGTGTTTCTTACTCAGACACATGATCCACTGCCAGCAAGGTCTTTCTGGGTCCCTGAGAATAGCCTTCTACAGAATTTCTCCACCTTTTTTTTTTTTTTAAAGAAACAGGGTCTCGCTCTGTCACCCAGACTGTAGTGCAGTGGCCAGTCGTCGCTCACTGCAGCCTCAAACTCCTGGGCTCAAGTGATCCTCCCATCTTAGCCTCCCAAGTAGGTGGGACAACAGGTGCGTGCCATCTTGCTTGGCTAATTTTTAAGATTTTTTTCTTTTTTTTTGGTGTGTGTGTGTGTGTTTGTGTGTGTGTAGATAGGGTCTCCACAAAACATCTGGAGATGTTGCCCAGGCTGGTCTCGATCTCCTGGGCTCAAGAAATCCTCCTGCCTCAGCCTCCCAACTATTTTTAATTTTTGAGGAACCTCCATACTGCTTTTCATAATGGCTACACTAATTTATATGAAATTAAAAATATTATCTAGAGATTTGTGGCCTCCTAGAGATAGTTATTCTTTTTTTTTAATTGTACTTTAAGTTTTAGGGTACATGTGCACAACGTGCAGGTTTGTTACATATATATACATGTGCCATGTTGGTGTGCTGCACCCATTAACTCGTCATTTAACATTAGTTATATCCCCTAATGCTATCCCTCCCCCTCCCCCCACCCCACAACAGGCCCCGGTGTGTGATGTTCCCCTTCCTGTGTCCATGTGTTCTCATTGTTCAATTCCCACCTATGAGTGAGAACATGTGGTGTTTGAGATAGTTATTCTTATTTGATGGGAGAAAGCTGACTACACAGGGATTCTTCACTAGGAAATTGGCCCCCACTGTCACTTTGGGGAAGCTGAGACTTCAGTGACCAAATCTGAACAGTCACAATGAAACGGGTGCTCACTTTTCCTGGAAGAATAATCCCAGAATCTCCAAGCCCAGAATTTTAAACCCACACACACAACCCGTGCATGGACGTGTGAGCACACACACCCATCCCCCACTTAAAATCCCTTTTACTTGATGTGGTGTTGCTGATAGAAGAGCTTCTTTCTTCTTTTTTTTCTAACCTTAAGCAACTTGTACTTTTATAAAGTCATGCAGATTCAAACAAATAAAAATCAATAGGCAGACAGAAGCGAACCATAAAAGAGAGAACCGGTTTTCATATATGACAGCATTAGACCACAAATGAGATTAGCAATCTTTTTCACTTGTACTATTCAATGCAAGTGGCCTGACATAATTTTTACTATTTAGTCTGAAGGTGAGTTTCAAAATTCATTTGAATAAGACTTTAAGAGAGCAAATCAGCATATTATAAACAGTCTCTCCTTCAAAAGACAAGATGCTGAAATAACCTAGAGCCAAGTATTGTACTTTATAAAGTCTAAGAATTCATAAGTGCTTCTCCAATTATTTTTCTGCACCTTAGTCATACCTGAGCCTCTTTTTAACCTTCTTCTGGCCAGTTTAATTTGATCCTGTAGAATCTGTACCCAATCTCTTGGGCCAGGAAGCTTATCCACATGGTTAGCTGTACAGTACTTTTCTGTGAAGACTGAAAGAAAATGTAAAATATTGTTAAATACCTTAACAAGTAAAATATGCAGATCTGAAACAGAAATATATTCTAAAAAGAAAAAAAAGTAGATTTCTAAAGGAGGTCAGTTCTGCACGATATGTCTTCGGTATCTGTATTATATTTGTTTGGCAAAGATGGAGATTGACAGGTCCTGGGTAGGTCCAATGCATTGTGCTTCAAAACGAAACTGGCGATACTCACTAAGTAGTTTGTATGGAAGCTACTCTTTCTACTGGCTCCACATCCATGTGTATGTGTCTTATAGGCAGAGAAGAAAATGCTTCCTAAGGGTCTACTGACCTTATGACAAGGTTTAGCAAACGTATTAAAAGAGTTCACTTTTTTGTTGTCAATTCAAAATTGAACGCAAAATTAACACGAAAAGATGGTCTTTCTCCTGGTGATTTCTACTAACTCAATCACTACTCAAATAATAATGCAGTTGGTGTCGTGATGAAAGTTCCAATTCTACTTTAAGTCAACCCTTTGCACACCACACGAGCTCCCAGGAAAGAACTGCCCGATTCAGCACAAAGGGGACTAAGGAGAACCCCACGGTAGGACACAAGGCAGGCGGGACAATGATCGTGGGAGGGCTATGCACAGTGTGTGGCCGCACACGCAGCGCTGGGGTTGACATTTCCACCTCACACACACTCCTGAGCACTTTGAAACTCATCTTTTCAACTTGTCCTTCGTAAGGTCAAGATCTGGTAGGCCATCACATCACACTGCCTCCTTGGTATTTAAAATATTGGTAATTTCGATGTTTTAAAAGGTTTCTCTTAAAAAAAAGACAAAAGAAAATATTGACAGATTCAACTAAAGAAAAAGGTAAAATTTCTATTGAATGAAAAATAAGACATTTCATCAGAATGAGAAAAGCTAGTTGTACTAAATGTGACCAAGAAGGTTCACCATCTACCATCAGATGAAGAGCTCATTCAAATAAAAGAGTAACTTCAAAAGTCCCCATAGATAAATGGGCAAAAAATATTAGGAAAAATGTTCCATTAATATGTTAACCAAAGAACTGCAAAACACACTTTATACCTACTAAAATCAGAAAAACAATGTTAGAAAGCTAATACTTGATACTGATAAAATTGGCACATTCACACATTACTATTAGTGCAAACAGGGAAAACCCTTTTGAGAAATAAGAGTAATATTTAATGGGAGACATAAAACTGTTATACCTTTGGACTGGTAATCTTACTCCTGGAAATTTATCCTAAGGAAATAATTTGAAAGAGAAAAGCGGCTATATGTGATCTCTACTGTCAAACACATGGCAACAATCCGATTGTGCAGGAAGAGATCGATGTCAGTAGCATGGCAGACACATTTCAAGGAGCCCAGAGAGCAGCAGGGAGTTCCCCTTCAGGAAGCTACTGCGAAAGCCGGAGCTAGTGACGCGTCTAGGGCCTCTCAGAGAACTGGCATTGTTTGGTTAATCACATGATGTGGTAAAAAGAGAAGAAAGGGAAGGTGTGTGAGCTGAAAGGACATCGCAGGCTTGGTTTGGAGCATGCTGTTAGGGGTGTTTGTGGAGCACCCACATGGAGATAGCAGATATAGTCCTGGTTCCAGGACCCCCAGCAGACACCAAAATCTGCAGATGTTCAAGTCCCTGATACAGGCCAGGCATGGTGGGTAATGCCTGTAATTTCAACACTTTATGAGGCTAAGGTGGGGGGCGTTGCTTGAGACCAGGAGTTTGAGACCAGCCTGGGCAATACAGTGAGACCCTGTCTCAATCAATCAATCAATCCATCAGTCAATCAGTAATCCGGGAGTGGTGGTGCAAGCCTGTGGTTCCAGCTACTCTGGAGGCTGAGGCAGGAGGATCTCTTGAGCCTAGGAGTTCAAGGCTGCAGTGAGCTATGATTACACCATTACACTCCAGCCTGGGCAATTGAGTGAGACTTTAAGCGACTTGTACAACTGTGCCCTGAGATACCAGAGCATACAACAGCAGTGGAGGGCCACCCAGCCTATTTGCATTATTTTTTATTGCTGCATTGAATTTTTTTTTTCCTGAATATTTTCAATCTGCAGCTGGTTGAATCTGTGGACGTGGAACCTGCAGACAAGGAGGCCAAGTGTATTTAGACAGAGAAATCTACAGTTCAGAGAAGGGGCCAAATTGAACACACTGGTTTAAGAGGCACAGACATACATGTGGTGGTTAAAACAGTAAGAGAGGCTGGGCGCGGTGGCTCACGCCTGTAATCCCAGTACTCTGGGAGGCCAAGGCGGGTGGATCACTTGAGGTCAGGAGTTCGAGACCAGCCTGGCCAACACAGTGAAACCCCATCTCTACTAAAAATAAAAACATTAGCCGGGCATGGTGGCACGCGCCTGCAGTCCCAGCTACTCAGAAGGCAGAGGTAGGAGAATCGCTTGAACCTGAGAGATGGAGGTTGCAGTGAGCCGAGAACGCACCACTGCACTCCAGCCTGGGTGACAGAGCAAGACTCTGACTCAAACAAACACACAACAAAACAAAACAAAACAAAACAGTGAGAGAGAGAACGTTCACCAGAGAGAACATGGAGAGTGGAAAGGGCACAGGCTGGGTTGGGAGCCCTGGGGAACGCCACGCTGCCAAGGAGAAGGTGGAGGCAGAAGAGCACATGAAGGGGCCCAAGCACGGCTGGCCAGGCAGGAGGGGTGGGGAGAGTGGAGGGGAGGCCACTGAGTGGTTCTCATAAAAAGGAGGGACCAGCACGCTGCATTGCAGAAGAGGGACAGAAGGGGCGGCTTGGTGCCCTATGAAGGTCAGTGAGGGCTGGGGAGGGTGGCCAATCTCAGGACACCTGGCCCAGAGAGGGGTGGAAGAAGAGGGGAGACAGGAGGGCTGAGGGACAGGGACTTGGGTGTGACGTGCAGGCTGAGGGAGCAGTGGTGTGGCAGGAGAGAACAGGATACAGGGAGAAGGAGGAGACGGTCAAAGGCATCACCCTGGGGGGGTTGGGGCTGATGAATCTGGAATAGAAATGGAGGGGCTGCCTCCAACAGAAGGAGGGAAATGTCCTCTTCTGAACCCACGGAAAGGGAAGATGGTCGATTCAGAAGTGGTTCTAGGCTGGAGCAAACACTCCTGAGGCCTCAGTGAGCTCAGGGGTGAGGGGCTCTGGAGGATGGAGGGTGTAGGGGAGGTGTGGAATCATCTCTGAGAAGAATTGGAGAGGAAGCAGACCACAGACAACTAATACGGCTGCCACGCCACAGACAGGCTACGTGGTAGGGCTATGCAGCGTGGCGGGAGTCTACAGGCTTTCCACCTCCGTCTCCTGCAGCTCCTTTAGGACACGGGATGGTAGGGCTGGTCTAGGCTCAGGGTTTTGCTGGACAGTTTTGGCAGAAGAACAGGGATATAAGCCCGTGAAGATGCTGAAGGTGTGACCGGGCATGAATGAACTCACCTCTCTACTCCTCCCCTATCCTTCACCCCCCAAATCTAGGAAGGACGTGAATACAGAAAAAGGCTCATGGGCTTGGAGCTATCTATAGAGATCAGGGAGTGCAGGTGTCAATGGGTTGGCAGGCAGGGGTCATGCAGCTGGAAGAATTGTTCTGAGATACCGGAGCATGCAGGAGCAGCTGAGGAGCAACCGCGTGTGAGGATGCTCAGGTGTGGCCAACAGTGTGGGGCTGAAATGCAGCAGAAGTGAATGTCACCATGGATGAGGTCCATCCACTACATAGGCTAGGCCGTCTGTCATGTGGACAGAGAAGTGATCCGGATGACAGTGGGACTGGGGAGCGAGAGGAAGACGTAGGGCTGAGAGTCTTAGTGGAAAGGTTCCATCAAAGCCCCACCTGGGGAGAGGGGCAGTGATGCTTAGAAAGGAGAATTAATGACTGGGGAGAAAATCAACCAGGTTGCCCAATGTATGATATGGGCGGGGGCCGGGAGAGCAAGGTGGGGAGGTGCAGAGGACAGCCTATCCCTGGGGCTGCGCATGCTTTGAAATCTCTGCCACTAGATTCTAAGCAACTTCAGGGTCTTCATCTCTTTTGTCTCCCTCAAAGCACCTACTATAGTGCATTTTTCTGAAGAACTCAAGCATTTGATAAATAAGCAAACATATTTTCCACTTTTGTTTCTAATGGAAGGAAATACATTAGCTTACAAATTTAGGCTAATTGGGGGAAAATGGTCTATCTGAATTAGCAGGAAGTCTTTAATTAATAGGATCTATTTAAAGAAGCAAGGTCTTATTGCCTTCAAATACCCACAAGAACATTTACTGATCAGATAATTTCCAAAAGGTTCTTGAAGTCCTGTTTTAATAAATAGAACAAAATATTTCTATTTAGCATCCTATTCGTTTATAGAAAAATGTGTACTACAAAAATGACTGAATCCACTGTTATAGCAGGTACACATCTCCCCCCTTGTAATATTATTTATACAGTTAATTTCCATAGCAACCCCTCTTTTCTTGGGTTGTGAAATGCATGTGTCCAAATTAGCACACATTAGAAAGTCATGGCTCCAAATTAACAAAGTGGATTTGGACTATGCCACATTGAACGATTCCCACGTGTGCGGACAAGCCAGTTTAAGATAAGCCAAAGGAGGCTGTGGACTCTCTGCTCCCATGTCATGAGGGGGTTCAGATCAGACCTTTCTAGTCCAACCTTGAGCTCAAATATTCTCTCAGTCACTAAAAGGGCAGCCGTGTCTGGTTATTTTTTTCTAGTTTCAATGAAAACTTATTTGGTTTCAATAGAAAGAAGCCAAGAAAATCACTGTCTCCTGGGTCTGTGTCTAAGATCTTTGAAGGGGCAGCAATAGGCTTTTTGAAAAACACCTATACAAATAAGTACTTCCACTGGGCACATTATTGACACCCTAGTTCATGGATTACATCTAAACTTAAAAGAGACTTTTAACTAGAATTTACTTACTGAAGACGAAATCCTATTCCCTCCATTATGATAGCAGATGAGGCCTCAAGGACAAGGCCAAAAGACTGTCATTGCATTGATCTGCAAACAGTCAATATGCTATGTGAATAGAGGTATTGGGGAGACAGAATGCATTTTTGCTACCTGAATCTATAGCTAAAGGTCAAGCTATTATCCTGGTAACAGTTCCATTAGGAGTAATGATGTGAAAAGAGGTATTGCATTAATGCACTGAGTTTTCTACTATGTTAATAGTGGGTCATTAAGAATCATAGTCGAATCATTTGCATTCATCTTGAGAATGCAATAGGTTCTAAAAAGAAATCTCCCTCCTTTCCTATTTTAATATATGAAGAAGCAGCAAGGGCTACTTTTAAACGAGCCCAGATAATCTGAAAAAAGTGAAATAAGATCAACAATTAAACTAAATAAAAGAGCTAAAGCATCTCTTCTGCTTAGTATAATTTGAGTTCCAAGGCACAGGGCGTATGTTAAGTCACCAGAGAAATGACAAATGCTCAATCTGATCCGTCCATGAATAATGACTTTTCCCAGATGCTAGCATTCATTTGAATCCTGCCCTTTAATTGTATATAAATAATGAATCAGCTGCTGGTGGCTGGGCAAACCCTTCCTTCAGAATGCTGCTCCTCATGTAATCATCATCAAGTGAAGGCGGCAGCGCGTGGCGTGTCTGACATGCTGAACGCGCCACTCTGCAAACAAGGCGGACTGGCCATGTTCCCCAAACAGTGATCTAGCCACACTGTCGTTCTCCTGAGGGACTTTTAATTTGGGTTTTTCTGGCTGGCTGTGCTGGGAAAAGAAGAATGTGGCATGGACTTTGAAAGGAAGTCACTGTGTCTAGCAGACACTTTAAGAAGCAGGGGTAGGTGGGAAGAGCTTTCACATCGCTGTGAAATCCTCTAAGAACTCTGGCTGGCAGTCACAGCCCAGCTTCAGAGTTGATGATTCAGTTTTAACTTGTGATCAAATCAAGGTTTACATCATGCATGGAAATCAAGGTTTACAGCACGCAGAACTGAAAACTGGGTCCTCATTAGATCTGCCAAACTCCTAGAGCTTGCAAAGGGACAAGGGACAATAGTCTCTGCTGCCAGGTCCCAGGGGACAAGCAGAGGGACCCAACTGGGGAGCACTTGCAGCCAGGGATGTGCAGAGGGAGAGGGAGTCATGGCAGGCAGCCCGCCCACACATCTGAGTGAGCGGACCACAACCAGGGTCCCTCCCACTCTCTTTCCTCTTACTGTCTTAGAGCTATCATTTGAGACTCCCCATGTGCGAGGCAGTTTATACACATCTCATTTAATCTCGCAACAACCAGCAGGGTTAGGTATTGTGATCCTCAGTTACTGATGACAAAATCCAAGTATGGGCAGCTTAAATGACTGGCCTGAGACTGCACATCTAACAGGAGTTATTTTCCACATAAATGACTTACGTTTACAGTTGCATTTGAGCACGCAGTGACGGTACAAGAAAAATGGTTGAATGGTAAACAAACAAAGCCATAGCTAAGTGCATCCTCCCATGTTGAACTTGAGGATGCTGGGTGTTACTTTCAACCTCACAAAATAGAAGCATGGTGGCCAACTGGGGAGAGGAACAGGGCAGGGGCTGGCAGATTACCTGTCCCCAGGAGGCCAGGTGAGTGTGCGGCAGGGGAGCTGTGCCTGGAAACTGGGCCGTGGGTAGGATGGATTTACACATACTTTGAACTCTGAGATCTGATGACTGTGGCTCAAATTTTACCTAGATCTAATAGAGTATATCTTTTCTCCAATAATACTTAGTGCGTCATTCTCCATTTTCAAGGAGAAAGTGGAAACATATAAATTGTAGGCTTGATATCCATCTATTGTATTAAAATAACCATACCTGTGGCATGTAAAACACTACGAGAGGGTGGGAAAGAGCTAGAATCAAGGCTGGTTGTTCAGGCAGGGCCTGATGGTCCTCCACATCTTGGTGCAATTGTTCTAGTCTTGGAATGGGTTCTCAGCATGCAGGCTCAGAAATCTGATTTTAGCAGACCACTCAGAAAAAATTCAGACCTAAACCCAACCCTACACACAATACTTGGTTGATACATCAACTAGAATGACAACTAAGTAATATGCAATGCAGAGGTGAAGGATTCTCTTTCTGTATCTGGAACATTTGATGTCATGACCCAGTACTTTACTTGTTGGGGTCAAGGGGCTAGAAATGGGGGACCAACCAAACAGAAGGTTGACTGTGAACGTGGAGAAAGATCAGGATGTTCACAGGAAACTGCCCACTTCTCGCCCCTGCTGCCCAAATGGGCAGGACTGCTTTGTCCCAGTGCCCTCTAAGCCACAGCTTGGCTGCAAGATGATGCACCCTTGACCTAAGGGGAGCCAAGCCGCAGATGTGTCGAGTGATGAGCCGGGCCCTCTCCTGTCCTCCTGAGAATGGCAGGAGATGAAGAAACAAGGGGTTTAGCAAGAGCCAGCGATGCTAAAATGTCACAATGCGAGTAGCATGATGCACCTACTGTGTGCAAACAGAACTGTGAGGAGCCAGCAAACAAAAGGAGGAAGTCAGCCGGCAGGGAGGAGAGGATGAAGCAGATGCGCAAAGAGAGGCAGGGACCAGAGACACAGAGACAAGGCTCATGGAGAGGGATGCAGAGTCCAGGCCTTACAGCAGCCCTGTTCCTGCCCAATTCCACCTGCACCCCACGAGACATCTTTTTCCTAAGGGAACTGAGTGACATTCCACTCTAGAAACCAAAGAGCCTTCTAGAAGAGAGCATTTTAAACAGGTTGGAGTAAAGCCTTGCTCTCTCTCTCTTTTAAAGATGGGGGTCTCACTATGTTGCCCAGGCTGGCCTTGGACTCCTGGCCTCAAGCAATCCTTCTGCCTCAGCCTCCTGAGTAGCTGGGATGCCCAGCAAGCCTGACTCTTCACGCGTCCTCAATGGCATATGACCCCCGTGTTTGGATGCCCCTCAGCCTCAGCACACTGAGTGGGCACCACTGGCCTTTGTGCACCCACAAATCTTAGAGGCACATCACGGGACACACAGTCACAAGTGATCTCTTGAGATGTGATCTATTTCAGCATATGGTTTTTCTCACGTTTTTGTTGATTCTTATTAAGTGCAACTATGGTGAAGATGATGTTCTCTGACACTGTACACAAACTGGGGGGAGGGTTACAAATCTGGGACTTAAACCTCATTGTGACCTTATTACAAAAATAAAATGCATTAATTCAAGACATATTTATCCACCACACATAATGTGCCAGGACTATGCTAGGTGTTACTGAACAAATGGTCCCTTGTCCCCAAAAATCCTGCAGTGAAATGGAGGATAAAGGCAGTAAGAAGTCAAGGACAGCCCAGAGCAAACCTGCAATTACACACGCCGAGCACCAGGTACACAGCCAAGGGGCACCTCACCCATTATTGGGTGGGAGTGGGTAGCGGGGAAAGCTTTCAGATAAAGTGATGGCTGAGCTGAAACCAAAGAAAAAAGTGGAGGTGAGCTGAAGAAAGGAGAAAGAAGGTGGAGAATGCTCCAGTCACAAGGAAGGGCATGTGCATTCCAAAGGCACAGCCTGCGACTGTCCTGAGGCAGGTGAGGGAAAGGCAGTCTCACATGAAGCTCAGGTTTCTACACCCACAGGGCAAGGGCAAGGAGGTCTTGGGCCTATGTGATGGGAGAGCTGGAACGAAAGCCTCTGGTGAGGCTGCAAAGGGCAAGGGTCTACCCCCGAGTACAGGGAGGCAACGAGCAAGCTCTGTCCAGACTTTGAGGGAGAAAAAGAAAGGTTCCTTAGAAAATTCTAAAGGCAGCCAGGCACAGTGGCTCACACCTGTAATCCCAGCACTTTGGGAGGCCGCGGCGGGCAGATCACTTTCAGTCAGGAGTTTGAGACCATCCTGGCCAACATGGCCAAACTCCGTCTCTACCAAAAATACAAAAATTAGCTGGGCGTGGTGGTGCACACCTGTAATCTCAGCTACTTGGGAGGCTGAGGCAGGAAAATCGCTTGAACCTGGGAGGCAGAGGTTGCAGTGAGCCAAGATGGTGCCACTGTACTCCAGCCTGGGAGACAGAGCGAGACTCCATCTTAAAAAAAAAAAAATGAAATGCTTGGCCTGCACCTCACAGAGGTTTGGGATCTGAGGTTGCACCATTGCATAAAACTATAAGTGAGCAGAAGCATTGCTGTTGAGACTCCTGGGCTCCAGAGAGAGGGAAATGCAGAATGAGTTTGAAAGGATGCCTTGAAACCTGGGCCACAACAGATTCTCACAGAAAAAAGAAAAGAAAAGAAAAACAGGCCTGCTAGAGATGAGCTCATATTTAAAATAATGAAACACATACAATGACCCAGCAAATACCAGAGGCAGTGGACTCAGGAGCTGCAGGGTGAGACACCCCTTGTGGATGGCAATGGACAGCAAAGTAAGTGTGCTTAAAATGAGCAAGGAAAAATTCAATGCACCAGGAAAATAACAGGCTGATTTCAAAAAGAACCAAATAGAACTTACAGAAATTAAACATATAGTATCTTGTATTAGTCTGTTCTCATGCTGCTAATAAAGACATACCCGAGACTGGGTAATTTATAAAGGAAAGAGGTTTAATGGACTCACAGTTTAACATGGCTGGGGAGGCCTCACAATCACCGTGGAAGGCAAAGGAAGAGCAAAGGCACATTTTACATGGTGGCAAGCAAGAGAGCTTGTGCAGGGGAACTTCCATTTATAAAACCATCAGATCTTGTGAGACTTATTCACTACCACAAGAACAGTATGGGGGAACCACCCCCATGATTCAGTTATTTCCACCTGGCCTGCCCTTGATATGTGGGGATTATTATAATTCAAGGTGAGATTTGGGTGGAGACACAGCCAAACCATATCACAACTGAAACATAAAAACTCAAAGGACAGGTTAATCAATAAATTAATATCACTGAGTGGAACAGGGAGATAGATCTGGAGAATAACCCAGAGTGTAACATAGACATGAGAGATGGAAATAGAACAGATAAGGGATACAAAGGACAGAATAAAAGGGTCCAGTAAACACTAATAGATGTTTCAGAGGGAGAGAATTCAAAGAATGAAGGAGAGGAAAGAGAGAGTAGATGAAAAGTCTTCACAACTGGTGAGTCATGGATCCTTGGTTCTAAGAAGCACAACAATCAAGTATATTAAGAAAAATAAATACATAACTGTAATAAAGAAACCAAAGAACACCAAAGGCCAAAAGATCCTACAATCAACTAGAGCAAAAAGACAGATGATCTACAGAAGAACAACAGGTTGATCAGACTCCACAACAACTGAATCTAGAGAACACTGGAATATCTTCAAATCATGATGAAAAACCATCCTTGATCTACAACAAATCACCCAACTAAACTCCACATCATTCCTTTGTTCCGAGGAAAATTTCGGAACAAAGACTCGAAGACCCTCAATCAAAGAATTACTAAACACTGTGCTTAATCCATTTATGCTGGAGATTGCAAATGTTTTTGTGAAAAATCAGACCTTGGTGATGACCATGAACAGCAGAATATAAAATAACTCCCACAAGCTTAGCATTCCAATAATGGAACACTAGGCAGAAATGGTTCAGCCCATTTATGGGTTAGAAGAACCCATTTCTTCTTCCCATTTATGGGAAGAAGAAAACAACACAGAGGCAAAGAACTGGAGAGGAGAAAGGGGAGGAGGAGTGCAGAGGGCATGACCTATAAGATCTTAAGAATTATTACAATGCCAGAGTAATGAAAATGATGGCTCAAAGACGAAGGTAGATAAAAGACCAAATGTAAACATGTGTGAGAGGAGCTCAGACTATGGCAGAGATAGAATTATGAATCAGTCAAAAATGGATGCTGTTAAAATGACTGATCATCCACAGTGAAAAACAATTGAATTAAATCTCTACCTCACATTTAGGTAAAAGTAAATTCCAGATGGATTAAAGACCTGATTATAAAAAATAAAACTTTGTTGGAAAAAAAAATAAAAGGATATAATTATATCATCTGAGTAGGGAGGATCTTTTAAAATGGGCACAAAAAGGCAAAAAGCATGAAGAGAATCCATCTGCCTGTCAAATCTCAACTTCGGTAAGATAAAAGACATTGTAGGCAACGTCTTCACAACTGGAAAATAAGGGGTGATACTTGAAATGCATGTCATTGACAAAAAAACTCCAGTAAGTCAGTAAGAGAAGAACCATCTAGTGGAAAAACAGGAAAAGGATGGAAATTCACAGAGGAAAAATAACTAAATAATGACAAATAGGAAAGGATGCAGAACTTCATTAGTGATCAGAGATTCTACCACTGAGCCTCACTTGAGAACCATCAGACTGGTGAAAATTAAAATCTGGTAACAAGAGATCTTGGCAAGAATGCGGGAAAGTGGGATTTCTTCTACCTTGCTGGCAGATGCATCAATTAATCAGTTTTGAGAGCCACTTGATAATGCCCAGCGAAGCTGAAGACGCTGTTCCTTGTTACTCGGCCGTTCCATTGCCTGGTGTGTTCTCTAGAGAAACCCACACATGGGCACCCAGAAACACAGAGATGACAGCTGCCTTGGGTGACAGGGAAAGAGAAAAGCCAGCCTCACTGTCTCTTACGAGAAGCCTGGAGGAAGAAAAGGCTTTGTCATGCAGTGGTTAGCAGATGAAATGGCTAAGCTAGGGTTAGAATGTGCTGAGATGGACAAATCTTTAAAAAGATGAAAAAGGACATGTGAAACACAGGCAAGTTGCAAAAGTACCGTGTGATGCTGTGGCCACAGATCTGTAAGCAGGACACAAAACAATAATGAATAGGATTGACGGGAACACAAGTGGCAAAGTAAGAATGAATGGGAAAGATACACACCAACTCCATTACTCTGGGGCGGGGAAGAGAGAGAATGGAAGGGAGAGGGAACATCTTGATTCTTAGAGAGGGGATATGAAGTAAATTATTAATAATAGCTGTTTTAAATCTTAGGGGAAGGCAGAGAAAACAAATTCTTGGCAAATGTCTTTACCACATTCAAGATGAAGAGGAACACTATTATTTCAACGTTTTAACCTAAAGACTACTGTTAATGGGGACAAATGTCGTTCTTCAGTCTGTGAACAAATCAGAAAATTTCTCCTAGGGCTATGCCACAGAAATGTCAACGCTGACTAGATTTCAATTATACTCCTTACACACACACTCTTTTGGGATAAGCACCAAAAGCTATCTTTAAAAGGGAGCTGGGAGAAGACTCAGTAATTTGCCTTCGGGGAATAACAGAGAAGACAGCAGTGCATCTCATCCTTCAGGTCTCAACTGAGACGTGACCTTCCCCGATAAGGCCTACCTGAGTTCGTTAACCAGTGATTTTTTAAAATAACAATGTCCAGTGTTCATCAAGACTGCAAGCTCAAAGCAAGGGCAGAGATCACGTCTTCCATTCACTGCTGGCACATAATAGGCAGGTATGAATGTATGGTTCATGAAAGAGTAAATCTGAGAAAGTTTTTTCTCTCGTCTGTTACTTAACTTGAAGGAACTGTAAGAAGCACTTCTTCAGTAAATAGCCAGAGGTCTCATACTGAGCCCTGAAGTTCATTTCAGATTCGGTTTGACAATCAGAATTTAGCACAGTTCATCAACTAATGCACCTAAAAATGATGCCTTTAAATTAAGGAAATAAAGTATTGCAGACAAGGTATTTACTGATGAAATGAGAATATCCTACTGAGTTATAGACATGAGACTTTAGCAGGAGCCGGCATGCGGGGCAGTCAGTCGTACAAGACACAAAAGTCAAGGATTGCAAAAGCTGGCCGTGAGGACCATCTCATCTTCGTGCTGACTGCTACTCTATGGGGCTGTTATTTTCAGCTGGCTGATGTAATGAAAAGGGCCCTAGATATCCATAAAACTGATTCCAAGCCATATTTATCTGGTTCTTTAGGTTTACTTCTGAGAATTTGGAATATAACCTCTGAACCACAGAATCTCTGACCTGGAGGCTTTTATTATTATTATTTTAACTGGAGACTTTAAAAGTTAGTCAAGCCACACTTTTTTTTTTCCTAGAGAAAGTGATGGTTCAAGAGCTTGAATGACAGTCAGGAGTGAATCTACGTCCCACAGTGCTCCCTTTGTTATCCCCACACTGGTGGGACTCTGAGGCTTGAAGAGTCTTGTTGAATCCCAGTGATTCTCACCGATTTGAGGCCACAGCTATCTCTCTCTCTCTCGTGTGTGTGTGTGTGTGTGGTGGCAGGGGTGGGGGGACAGACAACAATATTCTTTGTCTTCCTTCAGTTTTGCTACTATGACATTTCTGTCTAAAAGGAAGTGCCAAAAAGTGCTGATAGTGGTTTCTCAAATTAAACAAGGTTAATTTTAATTTCTATCAATTTAAGGAAGCACCCATTTATAATACAACTGTTGGGAAACAAGAAGAACTTTCCTTTGGTGAGCTGTGCCATGCCTTTGTTTAACACAGTTGGTATATTTCAATGGTTACGTCGTATTTACTAAGTATTAAGATCTGGGTAATAACAAGCTTTAGTGTAATGATGTTTGACCGTTGAATCCATTTTTTTTTTTTTTTAGCAAAGAAAAATGTTTCAAAATTATGGATTTAATAGGCCGGGCGCAGTGGTTCATGCCTGTAATCCCAGCACTTTAGGAGGCTGAGGTGGGCGGATCACCTGGTTAGGAGTTTGAGACCAGCCTGGCCAACATGCCGAAACCCTGTCTCTATTAGAAATTCAAAATTAGCTGGGCGTGGTGGCGCACACCTGTAATCCCAGCTACTAGGGAGGCTGAGACATGAGAATTGCTTGAGCCTGGAAGGCAGAGGTTGCAGTGAGCCAAGATCACACCACTGCAGTCCAGTCTGGGTCACAGGGTGAGAAACTGTCTCAAAAAAAAAAAAATTATGGATTTATAGAAATTCTACTTGGAAGGTGCATTATGTTTCGTATAACTCATTTATTTATTTTATAGAATCGAATGCTGAGGCTCAAGCAACACAAAATTTAAAAGATTGGGAATCACCAGCTCAGAGGCCTTAGGCAAGTGGCATAAAACACATGCGTTCCCTCCACATGTTACTGGGCTTGACTGTTCTTTAGATAAATGAATGAGGAAAAAGTCATGCGTTTTTCTCTTTCTAAAGCGAGGGTTTTTCAGTATATGAATTTTCAAAGTCATTCCATGAGGCGCTGAGTTTACCCCCTCGCCAGGAGGTCTGGAATGAACGCCTCCAGTGCCAGGGTAAATTATAACATAGGCAGGAGGCTCAGGTCAGACCGCAACCCAGAGGTGACAGAGGCTGGGAGAAGGAAGGGTGAAGGGCTGGGAAGGCGGGTGCGGGGCAGGGGTCTCACTCATCAGTGGAGATTTATGCACTGTCCCACCGTGGACACCGGGGGAAGATGCTGGGGCGTCAGGACAGGGCCCATGCCTCAGAGGTAGGATTCAATTTCCTGTTCTTTTTTACACAGTGGCAACTCCCTTCTCATTGGGATCAGCTGTAGGAAAATTTGGGGTTCACATTCTGAGGCTGACAGGAGTTCTCAGACTTTTATCTGATCCTCACTCTTTCAGGCACCAAGTTGCTAGGACAAAGGCTAAAATATACCTGGAGGGGAAGTATACGGATGTGTCAAGAAGTCTTCAGGTAGGAAAACTAGGAAACGGCACATTTAGCCTAACTATGGATTCCGTTATTAGGTTTATTTAAACCAAAATCCCACAATAAAATGATTACACTTCAACTTTTGAGGATGATTCCTCTCTAGTATGAAAGAAAGCATGACATACTACACTTTCCATGTGGCATACCGTGGAGGTTTCTCTTTGATATTTAACAATGATCAATGCTTTCACAGCCCCATTAAATACAAACTTGGCTTTTTTATTTTAGATTACCTTAATGTTTTTGATCGACAAGATTACACTACCCTTAATTCCTATATGCCATTTGATCTGTCTGTGGCTGCTGTTCCTTCTAATCTTCAAATTTATATTCTGCCTCCTTGAATTTCAGCTGCCCTTTTCCAACTTGTCATGGAGAAGTTGTGTAGTTATCTTGTTATTCATGCCCTGTACGTATCCAATGTGGGAGTGCTGTTTTGATTTTTAAGAAACCTGTGGGAGTGCTGTTTTGATTTTTAAGAAACCACCTTTTTCAGAGAAGATAAACTGACTGATTTCTTCCTTCCCTCTTTCCTTCCTTCCTGTATTTATGGATCATTAGTTATGTGAGTGGTGCTGTTTCATGGGACAAGGAATATACAAAGCAAACATAAAACGTGATCTCTGCCCACAGGAGCTTATAGTCTTGTTGTGAAGACAAGACACCCTAATATAAACAGCATGACCATGTATCCCGATCTGCCCGGGAAGTTCAAGTATAAAGCGCCTGTTTTCCCAATGAGATAATTAACAGCACCATACTGACCCTCAGGAGTGTCCCAGTGTGCGCAGTAAATGACATGCTCATCCTCCATAGAAGTCATCAATAGCAAGGCGGAGAGTTAAGATGCCCTGCTAAGCAGTCTAAAGGCAGTAAGTGGTACTGGCACTCAGAGAAAGGGGCAATCAGTACAGGTTAGGGCATCTGAAAAAGTCTCATGGTACAGGGGATGAGACTTGGGGTAAACCAGGAAGAACAAGTCAGGCTTGTCTATAAAGAGCGGGGAGAGAAGGGCACCACGGCCCTGTGGAGAACAGCATAACACAGAGTCCACAATGAACGAGTGGTGCTTGAGGAACAGTGTTGCTGGCTCACCCGGGAGGAAGCACCGGGAAATATGTTCACAAGGAGAGAGAAATTCAAGTTACGGAGTCTTGGAAAAGGCCAGAGTTCGGACTGAATAGGCCAAGGGGAAGTAAGTAGGAAAACGATGTCACGAGATTTGGTTTTCTGGGTGTTACT
The DNA here is from genome assembly GCF_000001405.40 of Homo sapiens. Classification (NCBI taxonomy): domain Eukaryota; kingdom Metazoa; phylum Chordata; class Mammalia; order Primates; family Hominidae; genus Homo; species Homo sapiens. The sequence goes on from NC_000010.11 coordinate 13,468,578, forward strand.
AGGCTGTTAGGATACATTAGGAACTGGAAGGAGAAAGGAGGGTTAGGCAGGACATTTCAAGAGTGTTTTTGCAGAATTTCAAGGACAGAGTGATGCACAGCTGGACCAGGATGGTGTCAAAGAAGCCAAAGGGCACTGAATGAGAGAGGAGGGACAAAAGGAGTTGATAGGGCCAGGTAATTGAGCAGGGTGAGTTGCAAAGAAAAAAAGGCATTCAAGGTGTTTCTGAGCTTTCAAACTTGAAGAGTTAGTTGATGCCTCTGCTAAAAATAATGTAGTTGCAAGGGGGTATCAGGGTTAGGTGGCCCATGCCACCGCCAAGATGACTGCTGTGTGGGTAAGCAGGGCTACCGCTGACTCTTCAGAAAGAGGCCAGCACAGGCCCCATGCCCTGCAGGAGACCTGAATATCCTATATATACATCTTGGTCTCCACTGTCCTGCCTTCATTTCTAATTGGGATTTGCCCCCAGGTAGTTGTACCTGGCTAAGTGGATTCAAAATGGTATCTGCAGTGATCAAGAGGTGTTGAGAGGAAGGTGCTTAAAATAACGAAGATTGGATTTACTCTGTCATCCAAGGGGTAGGGCTGATAGGAGGATGCTAGGGTCGAGTATAAAAGGGTTTCTGAGAAATACTATGAGCTGACCATGGAGAGGTGTCAAAATCTAACCAAGAGCAGGATGCAAGAAACATGACTTGGAAACACGGTCCATACAGCAGAAGACTTGACTGCAGGGAGCAGTCAGTGGGAAGACCTGATTAATTCCAAAAAGGAACGCCTCTCTCATGCTAAGGGTTTTTTACAGATAGGTACAGCCGTGCTTTGCTCTTATACAAAAATGTCTGACAGGCAGCCAAAATCGATTACAGCTTTCCGTTAATTTTAAATGAAGGTTATGGAATTATTATTATTTTTGAGATGGATTCTTGCTCTGTCACCAGGCTGGACTGCAGTGGCGTGATCTCGGCTCACTGCAACCTCCACCTCCCGGGTTCAAGTGATTCCCCTGCCTCAGCCTCCTGAGCAGCTGGGACCACAGGCACATGCCACCACGCCCAGCTAATTTTTCTATTTGTAGTAGAGACGGAGTTTCACCATGTTGGCCAGGATGGTCTCAATCTCTCGACCTCATGATCTGCCCACCTCAACCTCCCAAAGTGCTGGGATTACAGGCATGAGCCACCGTGCCCAGCCGAAAGTTATGAATTTTTAAGGGGTTTTCTTATTGGAAGCTTGCATACACTTTTAGTTTTTTTGTGAGTATTCCATGATCATTTGCAATGCACTTTCAGGGCAGAAATACTAGCAAATACCAATTCCTGAGTCGTTCAGATTTTTGATGCATACCTTGCAGGAGATAGTCAATACGTGTTATGGAACTGAATTGGAACACTTGCTAGATAACTGGCATCAAAATTGTAGATCCAGAAGAAAAGCTACCAGGAATGCAATCTGACTGACTCTGAACTTATTAAACAATTCTGCTTCCCCACAAAAGGAGAGAAAATAGGAGGATGTGGCATTACCTTAGGATGCTGGTGAGCATCTCTGATGAGCCACACAATTCAGGGAGTTAAATAAAGAAGAGATGGACCACGCAGAAAACACTGCTTTCTATTTTCAGGGCCACAGCTGGCACATATGGAGCCATTGTTCAGATTAGAAAGGTGTCTTTCCTCAAGACACTGTACTTTAGGCTGCAGGGAAACTGTCACAATAAATATACAAATCGACAGTGTCCACAACGGCAACAGTGCCCACAATGGTGTGCAATGCACATTCTACTGTAGTGGCCCTGTTTATGCTCCAGAAACATATCTCTTTTGACAGGAGGCTGTTTTTGTCACCCCTAGTGGTGGTGTTAAAATGCAGGTTTTGTAAGAATTCAGTAACGGGGAGTTGGAGTGGAATCCTTGCAAGTGAATCCACAACTGGTTCCTGCCCATTATGTGACAGGCTGAAGAAAGATCAAAAAAAGCCACACCCTTCTTAACAAGTTTCTCCACATTTCCATTTGCTCCTTATGTAGTAAACATATGAATTCACAGTTTTGAGGAGATGAGATCCCTTTTTTGAGCTTATGGAAGGCCGGTGATGAAGCGGTGGTGAAGCGTAGACTCACTGTGGCCCCAACGGCAGGGATCCGAATTCATAAGGTGTGGGATGGGGCCGAGGTAGCTTTCAGAAGCAACTTTAAGCAGCACAGTTCTGGCTGAAAACGTTTGGAGGTAAACTATATCTGAGTCCATTTCACTGGCATTATATTCATGAAGTCAAATGTGTTAAGGTAAACAAGTTGCTGAGGACTTAAGGTCCACCAATGAGCATGAGCCTTAAGCAGTTCTGGAGGCAAAAGGCTTTCACCCAATGTTTTATTGAATTTAAGCTTCATTAAACATGTTCTGTAGTTAACCTTTTCCATTCTCTCGGCATTTGATATACTTCTCTTCATTCAAGGCCTAGTTCAGATGTCATCTATTCTGTGAGGTCTTCTCCTAGTGAGATTTACATCCTCTGTGCTTCCTCCTCCCCCTGCCAGGTAATAGACATTTGTCATTTATTTTATTCTGTCCTGGAGCATGGCTCTGTTAGGGGTCATCGCTGACATGTCTTACTAGACTGTACATTTCTGAACATCAGGGCCTTAGTCAGTCATTGGCTTGGGGTAATAAATATGTTGTTAGCAGAAATTTCATGCCTGCTGATGATTTCTAGGTTTATAATATCAACGAAAATACTGCAAAGATTCTGGTGTTCTCATGACTTAATCCAGTATCTGAAAAGCAGCAAAGATCATGTCTTCTGTTAACACACTGTTTGGGGAAATGTCAACTGAACAAGTGTTTCAAATATGCAATCAAGGGGACTTTAGCCAATGCCAAGAAGAGATTCTACATTTTCTTCAAGACTGTCATGACAAGGTTGTAAGGAAAATGAAATGGTATTTGTTTAGTGATCCGTAAGTGAGATCTGTGCTAGAGTCTGGAAATGCCTTCTTCCACCTTGGTGAAGTGGGCAGCTATTCTGTCTAGTCCTGGTGAGGCACTGTAGCCATGTCTGAAACCAGGACCCTTGTGTCACATAACACAAAAAAAGTTTTAAACCCCCAAGGTTCAAAGAATGAGGGCAGCTCAGACAAGGCTACCTTCCTTCTCACTGATTCCAGGACAGAGGTGGAGCCACCTTCAGAAAACCAGGTGCTTGACAGAAACAGCTGAAGGAGCCCAAGCTTCACAGGGGCTGTTGTGTGTACAGTTGATACCCACCATCCCCATCATCGCTATTAGAATTGGGGTCAATACCCATCATCACTGTTAGACTTGAGGCCGATACCCGTCATCACTGTTAGACTCGGGGTCGATATCATCATCACTGTTAGACTCGGGGTCAATACCCTTCATCACTGTTAGACTCGGGGTCGATACCCGTCACCACTGTTAGACTCGGGGTCGATACCCGTCATCACTGTTAGACTCGGGGTCGATACCCGTCATCACTGTTAGACTCGGGGTCGATACCCGTCATCACTGTTAGACTTGGGGTTGATACCCATCATCGCTCTTAGACTCGGGGTTGATACTCGTCATCGCTGTTACACTCAGGGCCGATACCTGTCATCACTCTTAGACTCAGGGCTGATATCCATCATCGCTATTAGAGTAGGGGCTGATATCCATCATCGTTGTTAGATTTGGGGTCAATACCCATCATCACTATTAGACTTGGGGTTGATACCCGTCATCTCTCTTAGACTCAGGGCCAACATCATCATTGCTGTTAGACTCAGGGCCAATACTCGTCATCACTGTTAGACTCAGGGCCGATATCTGTCATCACTGTTAAACTCGGGGCTGATATCTGTCATCGCTGTTAGATTTGGGGTCAATACCCGTCATTGCTGTTAGACTCGGGGCTGATATCGTCATCATTGTTAGACTTGGGGCTGGTACCCGTCATCGCTGTTGGACTTGGGGCCGATATCCGTCATCACTGTTAGATTTGGGGTTGATACCCGTCATCACTGTTAAGACTTGGGATTGATACCCGTCATCGCTCTTAGACTCGGGGTCGATACCCATCATCACTGTTAGACTCAGGGTCGATACCCATCATCGCTCTTAGACTCAGGGTTGATACTCATCGCTGTTACACTCAGGGCCAATATCTGTCATCACTGTTAGACTCAGGGTCAATATCCGTCATTGCTCTTAGACTCGGGGTTGATACTCGTCATCGCTGTTAGACTCGGGGTTGATACCCGTCATCACTGTTAGACTCGGGGTCGATACCCATCATCACTCTTAGACTCGGGGTTGATACTCATCATCACTGTTACACTCAGGGCCAATATCTGTCATCACTGTTAGACTCAGGGTCGATACCCGTCATTGCTCTTAGACTCGGGGTTGATACTCGTCATCGCTGTTACACTCAGGGCCGATATCTGTCATCACTGTTAGACTCAGGCTGATATCCATCATCGCTATTAAGAGTAGGGACTGATATCCATCATCGTTGTTAGATTTGGGGTCAATAACCATCATCACTATTAGACTTGGGGTTGATACCTGTCATCTCTCTTAGACTCAGGACCAATATCATCATCGCTGTTAGACTCGGGGCCAATACTCGTCATCACTGTTAGACTCAGGGCCGATATCTGTCATCGCTGTTAGACTCAGGGCCGATATCGTCATCGCTGTGAGACTTGGGGCTGGTATCCGTCATCGCTGTTAGACTCGGGGATGGTATCCGTCATCGCTGTTAGACTCAGGGCCGATATCGTCATCGCTGTGAGACTTGGGGCTGGTATCCATCATCGCTGTTGGACTCGGGGCCGACATCCGTCATCACTGTCAGATTTGGGGTCGATACCCATCATCACTGTTAGACTCGGGGTTGATATCTGTCATCGCTGTTAGACTTGGGGTTGATACTCATCATTGCTGTTACACTCAGGGCCAATACCTGTCATCACTGTTAGGGCCAATATTGTCATCGCTGTTAGACTCGGGGCCAATACCTGTCATCGCTGTTAGACTCAGGGCCGATTCGTCATCGCTGTGAGACTTGGGGCTGGTATCCATCATCGCTGTTGGACTCGGGGCCGACATCTGTCATCACTGTTAGATTTGGGGTCGATACCCATCATCACTATTAGACTCGGGGTTGATACCCATCATCGCTCTTAGACTTGGGGGTGATACTCATCATTGTTGTTACACTCAGGGCTGATATCCATCATCACTGTTAGACTCGGGGTTGATACCCATCATCGCTGTTAGACTTGGGGTTGATACTCGTCATTGCTGTTACACTCAGGGCCGATACCTGTGATCACTGTTAGACTCAGGGCCAATATTGTCATCGCTGTTAGACTCGGGGCCAATACTTGTCATCACAGTTAGACTCAGGGCTGATATCTGTCATTGCTGTTAAACTCGGGGCTGATATCCATTATCGCTCTTAGATTTGGGGTCGATACCCATCATCACTGTTAGACACAGGGCCGATACCTGTCATTGCTGTTAGACTCAGGGCCGATATCCATCATCGCTGTTAGACTTGTGGCCAACATCTGTCATCGCTGTTAGATTTCGGGTCAATATCCATCATCGCTGTTAGACTCGGGGCCGACATCCGTCATCGCTGTTAGACTCGGGGTCGACACCCATCATCGCCGTTGGACTCGGGGCTGATACCCGTCATCGCTGTTAGATGCGGGGTCGATATCCATCATCGCTGTTAAATTTGGGGTCGATATCCGTCATGACTGTTAGATTTGGGGTCGATATTCCTCATGACTGTTAGACTCGGGGCTGATATCTGTCATGACTGTTAGACTCGGGGCCGATATCTGTCATCACTGTTAGACTCGGGTCAATACCCGTCATCACTGTTACACTCGGGGCCGATACCCGTCACCGCTGTTGGACTCGGGTCGATACCCGTCACCGCTGTTGGACTCGGGTTGATACCCGTCACCGCTGTTGGACTCGGGTCGATACCCGTCACCGCTGTTGGACTCGGGTCGATACCCGTCATCGCTGTTGGACTCGGGTCGATACCCGTCATCGCTGTTGGACTCCGGTCGATATCCGTCATCAGTGTTGGGCTCAGGTCGATACCCGTCATCAGTGTTGGACTCGGGTCGATACCCATCATCGCTGTTAGACTTGGGTTGATACCCATCATCAGTGTTGGACTCGGGTTGATACCCATCATCGCTTTTGGACTCTGGTCGATACTCATCATTGCTGTTAAACTCAGGTTGATACCTGTTATTGCTGTTGGACTCAGGAGCTCTGACTGTAGGGCTGCTGCTCCAAGGGGCATCTGAAAGCAATCAGAATCTCCTGTGGTTGTGTGTTCAAAATGCAGATTTCCTAAACCTACTGAATCTATCTCTTAGCATGGGACCCAGAAGTCTGAATTTCGAACCAACACCCAGGAAATTCTGATGCACACTAAAATATGAGAACCATCGTGGAAGGGGCTGGAAGTAGAGAGCTACACACAGAGAACAGCCGAGATTCAACATGACCTCTTTGTCACTGGGCCTTCATAAAACAAGGGATAATACAAACTACAACAACAACAACTAGGTGAGAGTTACAAATACAGCCAAGAGGCAAGCTATATTTCTGATGTAATTATACTGATGTTATGTATTATGTAATTATATCCTGTTTTAAGCAGATCTGATATGTAAAAATATGAATAGGTAAATTAACAGGTGATTAGTCACCTTCCCAAAGGATTCTTTCAGCATTCATCACTTTGGTTCTGACTGCCAAACATTTAAACTAGAATTTGATTTACATACAACTTTGGAACACAAGCTATATCAAGTGTTTACTCCCAAACTCTTTCCTTGTGGTTCTATGTACTGAAGAGTCTCAGAAGTTATCTCTTTCTTGATGGAAGGGATCAAACTTCTTTTTTCCTCCCAAGCACAGTGGAGCTGATTCTCACTATCTTCAAGAAAAGACCTGCCCTGACACTAGTAAAAAAATTGATGTATAGCTATATTTTAAACAGAAAATCACTTTGAATATGCTTTGCATAAACAACCGACTGGTCATCTGAAATCATCTGTATTTCCTAGTGGAATTTATAAAGAATCCAAATGCTAGAGTTTAAGATAGAAATTAAAAACTGAAACATCTTTCTTTCTTTTCAAATACTCCTTTTAGAAAGACTGAAGTGTTTAGTGTGCTGCAAAATGGCTTTGGAGTCAGACAGGCCTTGGGTGAAGTCCTGATTCCACCATTTACTGGTGTTTAAATTAAATAGGGTTACTTAATTTCTCATAGCCTCAGTGTCCTCTCCTATAAACGGAAATAAAATAATCAACATTGGAGGGGTACTCAAAACCAAGCTAATGTTTCAACCTTGTTCTTATAAAAAGTTCTGAGAACGCAGATAAGTTACTATCAATAAATAAATCGATGCAAATTCCACCCCAACCGTATTAATTTAAATCTACGTGAGATCAAATAGAAAAGAGCTATTCACTTTTTTTTTATTAAATCCTAATGGAAATAGAGATACTATAAGATGACAAATATGGACCCTACAGGTATCTAGAGTCACAAGAATAAAACAAGAGGTTTTGGTGGTCATTTCTGCAGAGCCTGTGAAAGTGTGACAGCAAAAGCGGCCAGGCACCCATTCTAATCTTGTAAGAAGCGCAGTTATTTTTTTGGAGGGCTACCAAACAAGGAGTGTTCCCTCCCAGAGAAGTTCTGATACCTGTGGCTGTCCAGACAGACCATCAAGGCTGGCCTCTCAGGAGAGCGGCAGTTTGTGCTGTGTGGCATGAACTAAGAACCCCCAACAAGGTCTTCACTTGACGTGCCTATGTAATTTCCACTGAATGCAAGAAGATTCAAGACTCCAGGACAGTTTGATAGTAATAAAACTTTCTCAACTCATCACTATGAAGTCGAATTAAAAATCCTACAACGGGGGCTCTAAAAATCGCTTTATTGCAACTGTATTTTCTGAAGAGCATTCAGGGATTCAAAGATTCTATCATATTTAGACAACTCTAACCACGTTAATCTGCATGGTCTACCGAGTATATCACAGCAAGAACTAGATGTGGACCAATTCTAGCCTCAGCAGGTAAGGAAAACATACCTGGGTACTAACCTCCACTCTGGTTATAACATCAATTCTGAATCAAATCCAAGACACTAAGCTTTATCCCCAGCACTAAAGCCTAAGACTCTACTTGGTAAGATCATAAGTTGTTTCTTCTTAAATTCAAAATGCTTAGGTGAATGTTTCTAATTAAAAACTCTTTCATCAGCAATACCTTGAGTCATACTTATCAATATATTTTAAATAAATTATCATTAAGTGTTAGTCACCATAAGACAGATAAGATTATGTAAAAAATACAATCTCTACAAAAGAGGCTTATATTTTATTTTTAAGATACTGTCATGGGGAATATTAATTACCACTACAAAAAGCTTTGTTAATAATCCCCCAAACTTTTTTTCAGTCCATTTCTGTTCCTACTTATAAGCATTTTATAGATTTTCATTCATTTTTTTCCCATTGTTGTTTTAACCACTCTAATAATCACTTTTGTTTGAAACAAAATTGAACTCCTACTGTTATTTTCATTTCTGAGATTTTGTAAAATTAGCCAGTCTTCATATGTTCCTAGATAATAGGACTTTTCAAATTAATACACTATTGGGACATTATCCCACAAGAGATCAAGTAAGAAAGACTGTATATTTAATATTTACAAAATCGTTTCCAAGGGGTGGTAGACAGTAATAATAGCAAGGATAGCCTTGGCACTATTATGTATAAAGAAACCATTTTATCACTTTCTCATAGTACTCAGATTCAAAAGACTCAGGTTAGGGAAATTTCTTTTTTTAAAAAATCTCTACGAATAACAACAACAACAAAAAAGACCTTAAATTAATAGCTACTTCTGAAAATCGCTTCGTATTGTAACGTGTGGGTTAACCCACTTTTAACGAAGGAAAATACAGTAAAGAAAAATGTATTAGGAAGTTAAGAGAGCTATATTCAAATTTATATTCAATTTTGGTTTCTATGTTTTAGCTTTCATTGGCATTTTATTAACTGTTAAAAATTTACAACAATGTTTTAATGTCAGTCATTCCAGATGAGTTATTCAAGAAGATGTGAGGATGGATGTTTAGTATTAGACCCATTATGTCAATAAATTAACGTCAAAGTCAAGATGAAAAATAAAAACCTATGCCTCTTCACTCATCCCATGTGCATTTATGGAAATACTGGTCTGTGTGAAGCTTTCAACATGTGTGCAGGGTAGGGAAGACTTTCCTTCTACCCTCTGAGGGTTCAGTCAAGTCTATGAAATAAACTGACGGCAGATAAGTTAACAGGAGAGAAGTACACATTTTTAAGGTACACAGGGGCACCGCAGGAAAGAAAAGTGAGATCTAGAAGCATATATACCCTCTTTATAGGGGAGAGGGGAGGGAGGATGGAGCAGACAAATTAGGGGAGAGAAAATGGTTTTGGGGAATGATGAATGGGCCCTCAGAAGAACAGGTGACAGCCCGTGACAAAATCTCTCTGGGTGTGGTGTCACCTCCAGTGTCCTCTCCTGTGATCAGAGTTAATTCCCCCTGGTTCATGACACTTCCAGGGAGGGAGTTCACAACTGAGTTCCCTTTGGAGGATCAGTCTTTGGGCAGATAAGGGAGTTCAGAGAGAACCCCTCCCTGCATCTGCTGTTCCCCAAGTGCCCACAATTTGAAATAACCTGCATACCAAAGCAGCATTTCTTAAGGTAGCATCTCCTGAGCTCTTTCAAGAGCAACAGGTAATAAAAACATATTTAAGACAAAGTGTGTCCTTAAGCAACTTACAAGAAATTATCAGAATAAGTCAGGTAGAAATGTTGACTAGCCAGAATGAATGGAATTTTCTTATAAAACAGTCAAATCTGATACCACATTCACATTTGAATAAAAATGGTAAGAATGTATAATACCATAATCTTGGAAGGGTGAGATTAGGGTGGCCTTTTTGTTTTCAATACATTTTAAATCATTTGCATTTTAAAATAAATATTATTTTTGTAATCAGGAAAAAAATCAAAATCAAAATATATGTCTATGAATAAACACTGCAAATAAAAACACTGCAAATAGATAAATATAAACTATTTGTTGATTTATGTTGTTGGTGGCTTATGGGATTTCCATCTGTTTTAAAGTTACTGGGTCGTTATTACAGAATTTTAATAGATTTAATTCAATAATAAAAGTGTATGGGAATTTTAAGTTCTTCAATTGGAATAATCTACTTTATTATATATTGGGAGCAAAGACCTCATTTGCCATTTTTATAGAGTACAGCAGTGAAGGAAATGAAGATGTGTCCTCTATTTGTAATATACTTTTTTTTTTTTTTTTTTGAGACCAAGTCTGGCCCTGTTGCCCAGGCTGGAGTACAATGGTGCGATCTCAGCTTACTGCAGCCTCCGCCTCCCAGGTTCAAGTGATTCTCCTGCCTCAGCCTCCCAAGTAGCTGGGACTACAGGTGTGCATCATCATGCCCCGCTAATTTTTTTTAATTTTTAGTAGAGACGGGGTTTCACCATGTTGGCCAGGCTGGTCTTGAACTGCTGACCTGCAGTGTTCCACCCACCTCGGCCTCCCAAAGTGCAGGGATTACAGGTTTGAGCCACCGCGCCTGGCCTGTAATATACTTTTTCAAACTCTTGCATGTCTAGTGTAGATGGAAAATGGCAGAAGAAACCCACATCGATCCACTTGTCACAATCTATTTCTTTACTATCTATTATTAGGATGACTCTTCTACTGTCATTAAAATGGACTATGGTCATTTATGGTTCCCTAATTTCCAAATGCTTTCATAATATTAATATGCTGCCCTGGGGAAAAAAAAAGAAAATTAAAACAATTCCTCGCTGCATTTCAGAAAAGCACCAGTAGCCTTGACCTTCTTGTTTTGAGAAGGGACCCTTCTTCACTTCAGGAAGTCCTACTTACATCATTGACCATTTTTCAAATTCTGTCATGTTGTTTGTAGTGTCACTTCAGGCTGAATCACTCTTTTCAGAAATGGCACAGTTTGTGATATCTCTGTAGCTTTTCATATTTAATACAACTCAACTGTCACTTTAAGTGAAAAAATTCTGATTGAGCATGAGAAATTCTCTGTTAATGAAGGCTTATGTCCTTCTGGCCATGAACAAAGGGTGCTTGGTACTTGCTAGTTCCATTTAAATACCGTATTATTTTATAAAGTTAATTGTGGACTTTCAAGCATCCTTTAAACACTACTGAATTCATTTACTCATTTTGCCAGATAATGGGGAACAGAAGGGGGCAGAGAAGGCCCTCTGCGTCAGTCCCACTTCACAACTCAACAATGCAGGAACTGAGCTAGGAAGCACAGCACCCCTATCCGTTATTCCAGTTTTAAGCAAGGCCTGATTCAGAGTCTCATTTTTCATGGAGTTGTGTTTAGTTTTGAGACTTGGTTTATGTTCTTTTTGGTAAGAACTAAGTACTTCTATTTCCTAAAGTTACACTCATCAGATTGCTTAATATGGGCATTTTAAAGTTAAGAGAAGTAGGTTTAGGATGTGGCACTGGATATAAATGCAGAGGTGCTCCCACGTGCCCCTGCATGGTCATCGTAGTGCAGTGGAATACAGATGCATGCTCAAAGGAGGGAAGGGGGAGAGACCCACGGTGGTCTCTGCATGGAGCTGGCATGACTCCACGGCACAAAACAAGAGGGAGAAGAGCGGGCCAGGCATGTGTGGGGACGCACAGGGTTTGATGTCACAGTAAGGTCACTTAGATTTAAAATGTCTTTAGAAGCAACAACCTGGTAAAGCAACTCTAAACTTCAGAGAGAACCATTTTACTTTATCTTTTTTTTTTTTTTAAGAAGCATCATAGCTTTATTCTCATAACTCAAACTTTAAGTTGAAGTCATATTCTGAGGAAGCTCTTAGAAATTACAAATTACCTGCATTTTAAAAGTCAAGAAAAAACTTCTTTTTGATTCTGCAGCAGGTCAAACTGGCTCTTAAATTATTATTTCAACAAATTAACATTACCTTGAATAATGAATTCTAGTGGTACTTGGGGTGGTGAATTACAGAGCTCACACCCGAAAGCCATGTGAATGGCTAAATTGGCAATGGCAAATGAAACTGGCCACTAGTCAGTTTACTACAATTTCAGCTGCATCGTTACGGAATGAAGGGAAAGCTCAACGAAGAACCCACAAAATGAAATGATGCAGACCAACCTTTTATTGCACCCACAATATTTTGGTCTAGTCCTTTCCGGTTGTCATTGAGTCCTCTTTTCCTCTTCCCATTGGGTAAGGAGTTAGCCAAAGTCTTGTCATCAAAAAACGCACACACCAGTTTTCTAAACAGAAGGCTTCCTGAGCGAGTGTAGTTTGACAATATAGAGTCCAGCTGAGATTTAGGCATAAACACGTCAAAGCCTTCAGCAAGTTGTACTTCTGGCTACCAAAAGAACACAGATATTTCATTAAAAGCAAGATTTGAAGCATCTGACTTTGGGTACATGAGCAACAAAAAAACATCACTAGCTACTGAAATGTACATATCCTACAAATGAAAACACTCTTGGCTTTCTTTGTCTGCCAGGATCTGCTATTTATAAAACCAAGGACTAGTTATAACTTATGAAACAAGATGCTCTAATTCCAATATTGAGCCTTGTCAAAAGCAATGGAAAGAAAATAGCCAAGAGAAGCCTGGACAACCACAAAATCCTATCATTCTAGAGCTAACAGGGAGTTGAGACTTCTGGATGAAATATCCTCATTTTGTAAACAAAGGAACTAAGGCCCAAAGAGATCATAAAAAAAAAGATTGAGAAATAATTCAAATGTGCTCAGTGCAGTACAGTTACAGATCACTTTCTCATACACTAAATAACTTAATTTCTTTCCCCTAAGGACACAGATACGGGGCTAACCCAGAAGGCCCCTGGCTCCTTCTACTATGCCAGTGGCTTTTAGCTGCAGAGATATTTTTTTTCCCCAATGAAAACTTTTGTAAACTAATATGTAAAATAAGTAAAAACGATGAGCAGGTTTCCCAGGCAGTTTAAATCCACTCCCCATCCCTAATTTTGGAAGGAAAATGTGAAACTATGTCCCAGATCACTCTTGGAAAACCAATGTGCTAGCACACTGCTTCCCTGGCAGGGACATCCTGACTGGGATACGGAATCAGAGGACGTCCAAGGTGCCTTTCAACTTGGACGCTATCGCACACGCTCGGCGCTCAGCACGCCTTCTCCAACAGCACGCCAGGAGGTTTACAGCTCACCTTTGAATCTTTCAACCCAGTTCATACCCTTTCCTTTACAAAGCCTTCCAAATGAACTGATCTCCTAACTCCTTCCTGCCCATGGAGGTGGCTACAACTCTCTGTTCCTGCTGTTCATTTAGCAGACATATGATTCTATTTCTTACACTGTATTAGAATTATTTATTAGATTGCAGCCCTCCCTGATCCTGAAGCTCAGACTTTGTATCTCTAGGATCTGGCATATAGCAGGCACTCCATAACTTCTTGTGGAATAGACGAAAGTTCATTAGTCATAACCTGCACTACTAAGTCATTTAGTTTATTGTTGGTTATGACATGGTAGCTGTAAAATAATAACTTTAATATGAAGAAATGCAATTGGTAAACTGTTGTTAGGAAAAAAGTCTGAAGAAAACCTCACTGAATTAAGACATGCTATCAAAGCTGATTCTTAGATCTCCTATTCACCACTCTGCAAAACTGGCCCTGCTTTGCAGTTTCTAATCACATCAGAAATGTGAGGATCCGGGATGAATTTCTCTCCTGGATAGTAAGAATGATTATTTTTGATTTTGTCCTATCACTTTTCAACATGCCACCCCACCTATGGTCAAAGTAAACAGGGCTCAGAGCATAGCTTCAATTCTTTGGATGACACAGGAAGGAGTTTGGGCCTGGTCCCTCCAAAATAGAACTTTTAACTGGAATATCCAGAAAGTCATCTCACACTTCTGCTTCACTTTGCCATTCCATGTTTGGTCTCTGAATGTTTGGTGAATATCACCATACACAGCTATACTGTCAGGTTTTCCCCTTAACTTCTGCATCTTGCTGCTTGCTGGTTCCAGGTCTCCAGAGGAGGTTGTCTGAGCTGGAGGCTGCATCCCTAGATCCCAGAACAGAGGTGGTACATACCAGGCACTCAATATGTCTTTGTTGAATGATTCAATGTAGACACTATTAGGATTGAGAGAATTTTACCATCATAATCTAAGATGAAGTTTTATTCATAACCAGAGTTTTATTTTGCACATCCTATGCTGCATTTAGAACTTTTGTTCTAAATGAACTGATCTTGGATTTTTGCTAAGTGCTCCTGTATCATTTGAAAGCCATTAAAACAAATCCAAGTTTATCTTACAGAAGCAGCTAATCACAGCTATTTGAGGATCTAGTGTGGTTCAGACACTCTTAATGGCAAGAGAGGAAGGGGAAGGACACTAGTTACTTATATAATCTCAGTTTGATTCTGATACCATTAAACAGGTACTTAAAACGCTGACCTCTGAGACTTCCCCTTTGATTCATCCTGTGAACATGGACCCCAGTTTGAAAAACACTGACCTGAATGAGCTACCAGGCGGAACTGGCCACTCCCTTCTTCATGCGCTCATACTGTTTCTAAGAACTCTGTTTACAGCACTTTTCACACAGCATTTGCTTAGCTGGGAGTTTGCATTTGTCATTGGGATGAGGACTCTTGTATTTGGAGTGTCAAACACCCATTGACTGCCCAATAGATATTTGTTAGAATAAACAAAACAATATGTAAGAATTCATTTAAAATGACTGGTGTTGATTCACAGATCTTTTATCCCTGTATAAAGAAAGTGGGTTTGAAAGTTTGCCACGCTGTGCTCAGCACACCTGTGTCTTCTAACAGTTCATGTGGTACCTCCAGGAGTTGGGTGACCTGGAGAACAGTGACCCAGCTGTTTCAATACCTACTCACTGAGCCCCCTCCATGTGTAGGAATCTGAAGGCTGGTTCTGCAGGCAAGACATATGCACAAATACCTATCCTATAAAGTCGAACGTGATAAAACATGAGAGAGAACAGAGCAAGTGCTGTCTGAGACAGCATCAGGCAGGACTTGGCTGCTGGGGGTACGGGAGGAAGGGGGCTCTTGGGGCTCAGGAGGGGATAGGACAGTGTTTTAACAGGATCTTGAAGGTAGGATTCAGGAGACAGGTACAGCCGCTGTTTCTGGTATCTGCCACAACTCCTAACAACTAAGTATCTGGAAGTTTCTGCAGAGCTAAGAGACTTCCAATGCAGATGCTGTCACTGCTTTCCATTCCACTTTCTACTGCCAAATACTGTTATTTTGAACTGTTCTTTCCAGATCAAGGAACATGAACTCACCCCTTTGCAAGCACCTTACAAAGGAGGAAGTAGTCTGATTAGTGGAGGCGGTGGTGGCAGCGGCAGCCGGGGCACAGGTGACTGGGCTCTGTCCTTCCTGTTCTTCTCGGCCTGTCTCCTATTCAGATTTCTAAGCCAGGAGTGAACAAGCGCCAATGCTATCTACGTGTGCCAGGTGCCGCAAGGCAACAACGCCTTAAAAGAACAAAAGAGGGCAGCTTTGTTTTCTGAAACATGAAGAAAAGATGACGTTCACTAATCTCACATTTTCACTAAGAAATCTTTTTATTTCCTCCATTTGATAAATGTAATCACAGTGGATTACTATCACATAATGATCCACATCTTTGTACGTATATTTAAAAACAGGATAAAGCTCTTTCTTTAATTGTATCATTGAAATCTCTTAGTTTACTGACTCTAGTTTAAATGAGATCTCTCTGCTTACTGATAGCTATGACAGAAACCAACACTCTTCCAAATGAATATCATTTTGAAAACTAGACTTCTCTTGACAGATTCACAATTTGATACTCAAGCCAAAGTAGAAAGCGAATATGTTAATTTACAGATTTTAGTGATTACTGAAGTAATACGATTTTTAAATGATGATGTCTAAACGAACAGTTCAAAATAACAATCTAAAGTTGGGGCAGGATTTAAGACACTTAGAGTCATGATTTTAAGAGTTGGGAGTCTGAATTCCTACTATAAATTTGGATTTTCATCTATGTCCTGCCTATTTTAGGCATCTTGGCCACTTAGTACAACAATGTATCAAATGCTGACTCTTCCTTATTCATCTCACACTGGGTGAAGTTCTGGAGGCAAACACTGCATACACAGTCACCAACACTCTTGAAAATGTCCTGGATCCAGGCCTGTGGACTTTCACGAATTTGTTTCTTTGCATTTCAACTGTGGTCTCCCTTTGCTTAGAAGTAGCTGGGGTTAAGATCTAGTTTGGCTGGGGAATCTCCTAACTAGGTAAATGAAGATGCGCCTTCCCCACCCCTCTGCCCCGTTAGGCTCCCAAGTCCCCATGAGCACATCACGTGACTCCCCTGTATAATCGAAAGAATACAAAGTAAGACAATTTTTAGGAGATCATGCTAGTTAACCACCGAGGGACTATTTCTATCATAGGCTATTTTATATAAGGTATTAGTAAGGTATTAATAAGTAAATTACAGTAAGATACATAAAAAGCTACATGTGGTCACTGGTTAAAAGAAGTGCACAAATAATCATACTGGGCATTAACCCCAGATTTTCAATGGCAGATTAATAGTGTACAGATTCTGTGTATTATATAGGGTCACCTTTGCAGGCACGTGCACAGGGCTGTTTGGACTAGGTCATATGCTGGTGGGGATTTGGGGGGCTGGGCTGGCTGGTCAGTCTCAGGTTGGCTCAGGACCAAAAGCTGAAAGAAAACTACAGATGAAGAGGCAGGATCCTGCTGAACAAGACTAACTGATTTGGGGCTGAAAAGCCTATAACAGGATTCATAAGAGTGCTTAAAGGATGTGAATTTAGTCTATGTCCATACCACTATATACAATGATCTTTTGTTCTTGTGTTTATTTCGTAGTATATTAGATGTATTTTGAGGAAAATGTGCTTCAGTTTAAGAAAAGAAATTTTAAAACACAAACCTCCCCCATAATTGATTTAATTTTGTTCATAAATGTGATATGCTTCTGTCTGATAAAAACTAAATGTTCCTGTAACTCAGGTCTGCCCCAGGTGGACATAGCAAGAATCACTATTATCATTTATTTTCTATTTTTAAATTTTATTTTTATTTTTTAGAGACAGGATCTCAACCTGGTGCCCAAACTGGGGTACAGTGGTGGGATCACAGCTCACTGCAGCCTCCAGCTCCTGGGTTCAAGTGATCCTCTCACCTCAACCTCCTGAGTAGCTTGGGCTACAAGTGCGTGGCCAGTTAATTTAAATAAAAATTTTTTCGTAGAGACACAGTCTCACTATGTTGTCCAGGCTGGTCTTGAATTCCTGGCCTTCAGTGATCCTCCCTCCTCAGCCTGCCAAAATGCTGAGATTACAGGCATGTGCTACCCTGCCCAGCAAATTTTTAAAATGTATGTATTTATATATTTTGTAGAGAGGGGGGTCTCGCTTTGTTGCCCAGACTGGTTTCAACTCTTGGCCTCAAGCAATCCTCCTGCCTTGGCCTCCCAAAGTGCTGGGATTATAGGCGGGAGCCAACATGCTCAGCCTGTCATTTATTAAATCCTATGCTGAGAATATAGCCCATGAGGAGGGTAGCCACAAGAGCATGTGGGACTAGATGCTCACCAGCATGGCTGTTCCTGTTGAGCAGCTCAGAACAGAGGTGGCCTGGGGACACAGTGGGCCTGAGCCGCAGTGTGGATGGGACAGGAGCATGCTCGTGTCCTACGTCAAGGCTCATAGTGGAAGGTGGCTGCCCTCTTTTCATTAAGCAAAAAATGCTCCGCCAAAAGTCCTATCTAAAAGTAGGTGCAATTTACACGATAGCCTATAGTGAATGTTGAATGGGATAAAAATGAAAAGAAATCATCCAACAGCCAATTCTTTATAGACATTTTTAGTTGACAATATTTTGGTAGAGCTAAGCATTTAATTTTAGAAGAGAATACAATTTGGTCCCTTGAAATTTTCTCCGTGTACTTGCATAATGAGACATTCCCGTCTTTTAGAGATGCTTTTAGCTTTTTCCTTCTTCAGGTAATAAATTAATGACCCTGAAGACTAGGGCTTGATTTATGCTAAAGATATTTGAGCCAAAATGTACAATATGTAAGAGTCTAACCACTGCAATTTAGCTTCTCTCCTAAGGCCACTGAAATGGCTCCTCCAAGATGTCCACTCTGAGAGACTATCCAGGCTCCCAGGTGACCTGACTGCCTGCGCCACAGCTGACGTCCTATGCTATTATAATTACTGTTTGTGAATTTTCCTTCATGTGCTCCTTCAAGGGCAGGGACTATTTCACACACTTCAGTATGCCCTGGAAAACAGCAATATAATTAACATTTATTTGCTATTTACTATATTCCATGCCCTAGGCTAACACATATCATACAGATTTTTTCTAATTTGATTTTCACCCTATGAAATGGCTACTATTATTATCCCCAGTTTGCAGTTGCAAAAACCACGGCTCAGAGAAGTGAAGTAACTTGTTTAAGATTATCCAGCTAATACACGATGAAGCAAAGATCTGAACTCCTGCAGCCTGTGCTGGAACTTACACTCTCAGGCATACATGGCCTCAATTTCTTTTCTTTTCTTTTCTTTTTTTTTTTTTTTTGAGACGGAGTCTTGCTCTGTTGCCCAGGCTGGAGTACAATGGTGCGATTTTGGCTCACCGCAACCTCTGCCTCCCAGGTTCAAGCGATTCTCCTGTCTCAGCCTCCTGAGTAGCTGGGATTACAGGCATGCGCCACCACGCCCGGCTAATTTTATATTTTTAGTAGAGATGGAGTTTCTCCATGTTGATCACGCTGGTCTCGAACTCCTGATCTCAGCTGATCTACTAGCCTCAGCCTCCCAAAGTGCTAGGATTACAGGCGTGAGCCACCGCACCTGGCCAATGGCCTCAATTTCAATGTGTCAATGAGTAAATTTAAAAAATCATTTGCTTGGTTTTCTTTACTTGATCCCAGTGGATCACTTTATCTATTGGGCTAAGAAGTTGTTAAGAAAACAGATTTCAAGGCCGGGCATGGTGGCTCACACCTGTAATCTCAGCACTTTGCGAGGACGAGGCGGATGGATCACTTGAGGCCAGGAGATCGATACCAGCCTGGCCAACCTGGTGAAACCCTGTCTCTACTAAAAACACAAAAATTAGTTGGGCATGGTGGCAGGCACCCATAGTCCCAGCTACTCAGGAAGCTGAGGCAGGAGAATTGCTTGAACCCTGGAGGTGAGCCAAGATCATGCCACTGCACTCCAGCCTGGACGACAGAGTGAGACTCTGTCTCAATTACAAAAAAAAAAAAAAAAAAAAGCAAGCAAGCAGATTTCCAATACAGATATTCTGATGAATATCCACAATTTATCTTCTGAAAACTTTTAAACTGGCATAATCTAGTATTACTGGAGACTATTTATAGTAACTACAACAGATAGAAAAACATTTCCTATTATTAAAAATTATTTTAAAATATTGTTAAAAACTAATCTGATTGTTTCACCAAGCTGAAAAACAAGAAACGAAAAGTAACAACAACAAGACAAACTTAGGCCATGTATATCTGCCCTGAAAAACACAAATCAATATATATAATCTTGAAAAACAGCGACCATAAGAAATTAACAACTGTCTTCTCTCAGTATTGGTAGAGTATTGGGTTGTGAACTCATGAAGAAAGAATTAAATACTGTATTTTCTTTTTTTCTTTTTTTTTGAGATGGAGTCTTGCTCTGTCGCCAGGCTGGAGTGCAGCGGTGCAATCTCAGCTCACTGCAATCTTCGACTCCCGGGTTCAAGCGATTCTCCTGCCTCAGCCTCCCAAGTAGCTGGGATTACAGGCATGCGCCACTGCGCCTAGCTATTTTTTTTTATTTTCAGTAGAGACGGGGTTTCACCATGTTGGCCAGGACTGTCTCAATCTCCTGACCTCCTGATCCGCCCGCCTTGGCCTCCCAAAGTGCTGGGATTACAGGCGTGAGCCACCGCGCCCGGCCTAAATACTGTATTTAGATCTGAAATTTAGTTTTGGGTGTCTGCTTCTGTGTATAGTTGAGGTTTGAATTTTATTTAATGTGCTACTTTTAAAAGGGTCAAATAATCCTGCCCAAAAGAGAAATATTTCAGGCTATTCCCTTTCTAAAAACACTATTTGTTCACGTGTATTTTTTTACTGATAGATATAGATAAGTTTTATTTTAAAATATTTATTCCCATAAAGACACTGAGGTAAGAATGCTAAGGTTAAAAAAAGAACTAATATTTATTGAGTGCTTAAAATGGGCCAGGCCTTGTTCTAAGTGCTCCACAGGGATGACTTCATCTAATTCCTCCAATGGGCCAATCCCAGGAGGGAAGCACTTGCTATCCCCATTCTACAGAGAGAAATGGAGTGGGGAGGGGTCAGGTTCATTGCTCAGGGTCACACAGCTGAGAGTCTAACCCAGGCAGCCTGACCTAAGAGCCTGCTCCCTGACCCATGAAGTTCTCCCCAAGAAACTTCCAAGTAAAAAGAAACAACTGCCACAGCTGAAACTTTCAGTTCTTTCATATGATAATCATCCCCTCAACAGTGACTGAGTGTTCGTCACACACAGGCATTGGGCTAGAATGGGCACCCGCAAGTCCTTTGCGCAGTGGACAAGGGCAGATGACAGACCTGGGTTGCGGGACACACTCCACTTTTCTTGGCTGTGTGAACTTGTGCAAGCTGCCCGTAGAAAGCGGATAAGAAGAATACCTCAAAGATGGCGCATGAATACTATTACTATTATTATTATTATTATTAATCACAGTCTCTGCTCTTGAGAAGCTGGGGTGGAAGGATGCATTAACGTGTATCCTGTTTGTATATTTACAAACTATTTACAAAATATACTGTTTGTATATTTACCAAACAGTATAGAAGTTCTATCCAGGAGGATCGTTCAAATCACAGTAGAGCCTTGAAGGGGAGTAGGTGGGTACAGAGAGGAGGAACAGGAAAAAACAAGTAAACTGCAGTGAAATTGAGGAGGGGGCTCTCCTTAAAGCTAAGTCCTAAACTTAATGTTTCCCAAGTTTATTTTGTATATTGTGCTTAATGCAAATGCAGATGTTTCCTCCTTCGCAGATTAAACAAATAACATTTACTGAGTACCTTTTATGTGCCAGGCACTGCTACAGGATTTTCCCATATACTCTATCTCATTTGATGCTCACAACACTCTGCCATTTTTGACATTTTGGTTGGTTCTGATTAGAACTTAGTGTTTTTCTGCATCTGAGTAGGGACTATTGTTATCAGTTTGAAGACAGTGGCTGATCTGCCATGATTGACAGCCCCTTGTGGGCCCTTATGTTTGTGTTTGTGCCATGGGTATATACATTGGCATTTGGGTGACACTACGAGTCACAACGCAAAAAGGGAACTCTATACACTGTAAGCTTTTTTATATTTACAAAAGCGATAAAGCATGGGTTTCCAGTGTCACTTTTCATCGTTTCCAGTGCTAATCTTTCTCCTGTGCTCGAGGTGTCTAGCAAACGTGTTGAGGATATGAAATTCACTTTTCCTTCCCATCCAGAGCTGAAAAGCCTGCACTGCTCTTGCTCTCCGCGTCTCAGTTGAAGTCTCAGCTGCAGCTGTAACCCAGCAAGTTTCCCAGATGGGAATCCGGGGCTCACTTCCCACTCAGTCCCCGTGTCCCTCCTGAATGTCTCTCCATGCTCTCCTCTCCAGGCTCACTGCTCCTGTCTAGCCCTCCTGATCTCCTGCCTGGCAGGCTGCATGCATCTTCCTCCGGCTATCTCTATCTTTCTGTCAGCCGCATGCTGTTCTAGCTACGGTTCTAAGATTCAGGCACAATTCTTCCTTTACTGGAAACTTGCAATGGCTCCCTCCTGCCCACAGATAAAGGCTGAAGGCCTCACCTGGACTTTCACTCTCTCACCCCACCCTGCTTTTACCAATGCCAGCCAGACAGCTGTTCTAGCAACACTGGGCCACTTGCCCAATCCTATGATTTTGTTTTTTTGTTTTTGTTTTTTTTTGAGACGGAATCTCCCTCTGTCACCCAGGTTGGAGTGCAGTGGTGTAATCTCGGCTCACTGCAACCTCTGCCTCCTGGGTTCAAGTGATTCTTATGCCTCAGCCTCCCGAGTAGTTAGGACTATAGGCATGTGCCACCACATCCAGCTAATTTTTGTATTTTTAGTAGAGAACGGGTTTTCCCATGTTGGCCAGGCTGGTCTCGAACTCTTGACCTCAGTTGATCTGCCCACCTTGGCCTCCCAAAGTGTTGGGATTACAGGGGTAAGCCACCATGCCTGGCCTCACTTTTCTTTAGAAGCATGTTATTCTTCCAAGACAATCAACAGCTAACTGAGTTTTCATTAGCCGGGGGTGGTGGCAAGTACCTGCAGTCCCAGCTACTCAGGAGGCTGAGGTAGGAGAATTGCTTGAACCCAAGAGGCGGAGGTTGCAGTGAGTGGAGATCATGCCACTACACTCTAGCCTGGGCGACACAGCGAGACTCTGTCTAAAAAAAAAAAAAAAAAAAAATGCTTAGAAAATTTAAGGACTGAATGTACTTTGTGTTGAGGAATAATTTACCTCTGTTTCCGAATATGTGATCTACCTGGGGTTTGACTCAGGGCCCTAGTTGCAATAGCAATATGATATCATTGCATGAGCTGACTGGTCCAGCATAGAACGTTATCATCATTAATGATGTTTTAAAATTAAATTTTTAGACTAGATGAACTTCTTAACAATTGTAGCAAGTGTTTATAGATTTCAAAAAAAAAAAAGAACCTTTAACACCGAGAATTAGGTAAAAGTTCCAACAACTTTCCAATCTAAAAAAGTCACAAGATGATGATTTTTGTCCCCTCCCTTTGTTAAAAACCCAATGTGGATATACCCTAGCAAACTGTCTTCCCACAATTTCTTTCAAAATTTTTAAAACTTTTTTAAAAAGCAATTTGTTTCCTACTTAAAGTTTAAAAGGTATGGCCAACCTCCAATCCTATACAGGCCTGCGGGAGTTCGCAGCAGGATTCTCGTCCTATGCAATCTGATAAGAACAGATCCCCCATTCTTGTTTATTTTAAGAACTCTCCCAACAAGTTAAGGTTCACAACACAAACATACTTAGAGAAAGACATTGTAAATAGAAATGCAATTGCAAATATAGTGCACTATTAAACACATTCGTTTATGGTCCTATGAATGTAAAATAGCAAGTCAGATGGTTATCTCGGATGTCATCCAACATTCTGGACTGCGGCAACATTCTGGCTGTGATATTAAAATAGAAAAACCTTTGCAGAGCCTTAACCTATCATTACACGGAGTAAATGGCATGGCGCTGCCACCTAATTAGTGGTGTGGCTTGCATCTATAAAATAGAATTAGCATGACTGCTCCTTTTTTATTATTAGTTTGTGTTTCCAGAAAGGTGCGATCTTATCTGTATGGCCCTGTTCATTTATGCCCATCTACAAAGGATTTAATTATATTCTTTTAGGTCTCTACACTAAGGAAATTGAAAATTGTCACTGCAAAATTAAAAATGCAAAAGAAATTAGTGAGCAGATTATTTACGCCATCACCCTCCTCCTTTCGGAGACAAAAACTGGAAACCTGTCTAAATAAATAAGGCATCACATTTTCAGAAAAGAAAACTCCAGACAAGAAAATTATTACCAGTCTTCTTTTCTTCTTTCCCACATATAGTCTGCAAGTTTCTCTAGTTGTCAAAAGGGAAATCTATAAATACTATAAAATTCCCAAAAGTTACATAGCATTAGAGTCAGCAGCCAGAAAATGGCAACTTACATCTGAGGAAGGTGATTCCAGAACAATGCCGAATCCTAGAACGCGGCTCTCCTCCGGGGAGGTGTGCTCGGCTGCCTGGAGAGCAGATAGCTCAGAGGCCACCACCGACTTTTTCTCCATCTCTGACCCACTGGGCTTCTGTTTCACAGTAAGAGGTTCCACAGTCTTTGGGGGCACTTTTTTCTTTTTATTTCTCTTTCGTGAGACAGCAGTTCGCTGGGAGCATATAAGGGAAATTGGAGGTTGTTGTCTGTTTTGAGTTCCAACTGCGAATAATAAACAAAAATATGGTACAGGCACGTGTGTCTGACTTAGGAAAACTTATCTCCGGTCTATCCATGTGATCTACAAACTGAAACCGAAACGAGGAAAACTCCAGGATGAAGCACACTAAATAAATCTCCAACTGGACCTAAAGGTTACCAAACGCAGGCTCTGAAGCACTTTCAAGTCCTAAAGGCAGAAAAATACTCAGGAGAAAGCGTTACTGCAGGTGAATCGTGACAGCATACTGCTGTTGGGTTCAATGCAGGGAAAGGATCATGAGCTGTGAGAAAACACCTGAGCATGGCTTTATAAATCATAGGATGTTTTTAAATAAATGAGAACTTCGGGATTTAAATTTAGATAGAGACGGCTGTGCTTCCTTGTAATCCTGTTTCAGGATTACATTTGGGGTTAGACTGATCCGTTCCTAATAATCTACAGGTGCCAAAACTGATAAAGATGAGACAGTGATGATCATTTGCGCAAGACTGATCAAAAGAAGCCGTCTGGGATGATTCTACATTAGGGACCAGTAAGCATGTGGGAAAAGCCTATTAGTTACTTAATTAGGACCAGTGAATCCTTCCTCACCAAACAAATATTCTCCACACATCAACCACCTCCAGAGCACCCTGCTACATGGCCTCAGACCAGGCTACTTCTCTAGACCTCGGTTTCACATAACTGAAGGAGCAATATCATTCTGTACAAGTCAAGCAAATCAGTGAAATCTAGAAACAGTTCCAAACATGAAAAGCACAGTACAGGAACCAAGTATTCAACCTGATTCTATACTTAAAGAAATCCAGGATGGTAAATTACAGTTCTCACAGGTGCACTCTGAGAAGTTATGTTTGCTAGCCATTTAAAAATACTCTCTTGGAAAGTGTAATTGGAAAACATGGCATCATTGTTTAAATCCTCAAGTATTAATATAGCTTCCTAAATATGACTATAGGATGTCCCTGCTTTTCAACAGAAATGAACCTATAAGACAAGTGAAAACTAAAGGTCTTTAAAGGCATATAAACATGAATCACCTCCTCTTACCTCTTATCAGTCTGAAAATAAAGAATATTTACACTTTGATCCTGATATTTTTGTCTCCAAATTCAAAAGCAATTCATAAATATTAGAAGCAAACTAATTGCACTACATAAGAGCACAGAAGTTTTTAAACCAGTAATTAGTCTAGCTCAATGGTTCTCAACCTTGGTTGTACATTAGAATCACTTGAGTTTAAAAAAACTGAGATGCCGGGCCAGGCATGGTGGCTCACCCCTGTAATCCCAGCACTTTGGGAGGCCGAGGTGGGCGGATCACGAGGTCAAGAGATCGAGACCATCCTGGCCAACATGGTGAAACCCCGTCTCTACTAAAAATACAAAAATTAGCTGGGCATGGTGGTGGGCACCTGTAGTCCCAGCTACTTGAGAGGCTGAGGCAGGAGAATCACTTGAACCCAGGAGGCGGAGGTTGCAGTGAGCCGAGATTACGCCACTGCACTCCAGCCTGGCGACAGAGTGAGACTATGTCTCAAAACAAAAACAAAAACAAACAAACAAAAAAACTGAAATGCCTCAGCCCCACCCCAGACGAAGTGAACTGACACCTCCAGGCATGCTGCCTGGGAAACAGCATTGTCTGAAAGCTCTTCCAGTGATTCTGCTGTGCAGCCAGAGTTGGGAACTTCTCTTTGGTCTCTCTGCATTCCCCCTCAAGGCTGGGTCTGCACCCTCAGAATCAAAGGGACCTCGAATAATGATCACGATGGTCTAGGCCCCAGGCCTTGCTAAGCCTCATGATTCTCAATTAGAAATGAAAATGTTTTGGTTTAAGGAACACGGGGACTATCTGAGTTTTTCTTCTCCTTTTGCAAATCTAGACACAGCCCAAGTCTCTGGCATCCAGATCTTACCTCTAGGTCTTATTCCCTGTCTTCTTAAAAGAAAGGTGAAACTTTCTAAATGT